>NT_187540.1:0-220246 GCF_000001405.40 Homo sapiens
GAATTCATGACATAAACTTCATGAACGGACTTAACACACAGCATGTTCTATCAAGTGTCAGCTCTTGCTCTTTTTCTTTGATCTCTCTACTTGGAGGCTTCACAAGAATATCAAAAATAACATATCTAAAACTGAATTCATCCTGTTCCCTAGGACTACTTGCCATGCCACTACTCCCCTAACTTCTCTAACTCAGGAATAACATCATCATATCAAAAATCTGGTTGTAGGGTTGTCATCTAATTATTCCTTTCTTGCATTGCCCAATTGCAAGTCTCAGAGTGGCTGCCTCAAAAATATATCTTGACTATTCATTATCTTCACCCAAAGAACCACCTCCTCCAATTTGGACTACTGAAATGCCTTCCTAAGTGCTCTCTCCAATTTCATTCTTAATCATCTCTTACCTTTCTCTTCATAGCAGCCAGAGTAATTTCTACCCATGCAATGGATGGAAGTTGTTTCAATGATGTGTCTTTCTCAGATGTTCCAGAACAATGTGGAAAGCATGTGTGAATTGTACAAAAGCATCCTCATCCATGGAGAGCATTGTAATAAAAAAAAAAAAGCTCCATTTAATAGTTCTTAGAAGCAGCTGTCTTTCAAGGCATGATACCAACTCTACCTCCTCTAGAGGGTGATGGGGAAACATAGCAGTTTTGAGAGACAATTTAAACACTAATTACTTCAACATGTGTCTGTTATAGTTACTGCTGCATTAATAGAGGCAAATAAGTTGACAGGTGATTGTAAAATACAAGACTATTTTAATATAATATGTGTTAGGATATTTTACTTCAGTCTACACATAATCATCCCCCATGCCAATTGACTGAGGAGATTCATTTAACACTTCAGAGACTCCAGGAAAAAAAAAATTGCAGGCACCACATTTTTTAACCTCTTTATGAGAGCTTTCTAAATGAATAACATTATTGTACAAAATGTTTTAGGCAAATATGTGTAGAGCAAAATACATTTTCACCTGCCACCGTATATTCTGCAGCCTCAACTTTTTTTTTCTTCTAGAGACAGAGTCTTGCCCTGTCACCCAGGCTGGTGCACTCATAGCTCACTGCAGCCTCTAACTCCTGGGCTCAAGCGATCTTCCGGCCTCCTGAGTAGCTATGACTAAATGTGCATGCCACCACACACAGCTTACAGTATATTCTTTATGACTAATCCTTTCTACCCAAAGCAGTAAAAGAAAAAAATAAGACAAAAAATGCAAACTGCTCCTCAAATGCTCCTACCCTTACCCCATCCATCTGTAGCAAAGTGGCTAAAATCATGAGCTCTGGAGATAAATCCTACCTCTACTAGTTACTACCTGTCCAACCATAGGCAAAATTCTCCATTCCTCTAATGTTAAAAGCGTTATCTGTAAAGTGAGGATGAAAAAAAAATCACAATATGTATTTCATTAGATTATTGAATGGATTAAATAAGTTGATATTTGTAAAGTACTTAGAACATTGCTTAGCACATAGTAAAAAATATATATATTTGCTTATTTTTATTCCTGTTGCTAAGGTATAAATGTTTGTGTCCCTGAAATTCCATGTGTTGAATACTAACATTCAAGCTGATGGTGTCAGGAGATGGGGTCTTTAGGAGGTGACTAGATAATGAAGACGGAGCCCCCATAAGGGGATAAGTGCCCTTATTAAAAAAAAAGGGGGGGACACTATTCACCAACTGCAGAGAGCTAGCTAGCCCCTTCCACCATGTTAGGTTACAGCAAGAAGATTGGTCCTCATTGGACATCAAGTCCAGTTTGATCTTGAACTTCCCAGCCTCTAGAAACTGTGAGAAGTAATTTTCTGTTATTTATAAGGTACCAAGCTTATGGTATTTTGTTAAAGAATCCTGAATGAACTAAGACACCTATGGTCTTTATTTTTTATGTGTCAATGCCTCTGTGCTAGATGAGGTGATTAATTCTATAGGTTGTGTGTGTGTGTCTGTGTGTGTTTACCACCGTCAAATGCTATATTTAGTATGAGCATGCACTGTTAACAGTGACTTGATATGATTTAGTCATAAATAATATTCCCTGGAGCCAGGTTAAATGTAAATATGCATCAATTTTGGTAATTTGAAATGACTTAGTCCTCAATAATATTCACTCATCTTTTTCTTTTCTCGTTTCCTTTTCCTTCTTTGCTTCCTTCCTTCCTTCCGTCCTTCCTTTTACTTTCCTTCTTTCTCTTTCTTTTCTTTCAGACAGAATCAGTCTCTATCACCCAGGTTGGAGTGCAATAGTACAATCATAGCCCACTGACACCTCAAACTCTTGAGCTCAAGTGATCCTCCTGCCTCAGCCTCATGAGCATATGGGACTACAGGTGTGTGCCACCACACCTGGGTAATTTTTTTATTAATATTTTCAGACAAGGTCTTGCTAGGTTGTCCAGGCTGGTCTCAAACTCCTGGACTCAAGCGATCCTCTTACCTCAGCCTCCCAAAGTGCTAAGATTACAGGTGTGAGCCACTGTGCCTGGACTTTTTTGCTTTTTGACACCTTTACATGGAGGCTTTGAAGTACTCTTTTAATGATATATTGGATAATGTATTTCTTCCTTAAAACATTAATATGGATTTAGAATATCCAAAATGTATGATATTTCTGCCATGTTTCTTTGCCAACATTTTTTCCATCCTGTGAAGGGGCTCAGGTTTGGTATGAGTCTGAGCCTCTCTCCTCCTCCTTTATTTTCTCCACTCTTGAAAGAATGGAGAGACATAGACATATCTGGGTGGTAGTGTGGGAAGAATAAGCTGGCATGCTCTTCTCTGCTCACTCCTATTTTCACCTGCCTCACTGTGGTAGCCTTTCTTTGCTCCAGCCCTTCTTATGGATGGTTAACAGTGTCTATCATTCTTGGGGTTAGGGTGTGAGCCCATTTGGCTCTCACACTAAACAGATGTTTTGGCTTCCATGTTTTCCCTATTATTTCCCCATGTTTGTCCAGAATCAGATAAGAATGAGGTGCTATTTATTGTGTGTCCCCTAGACATTCCCAAAAATGTTTATGTGACTGTAAGCTCTTGCATCTGATTTTTCCTGAAGTGTTGTCTCATTGAGCTTCTTTCTGACTTATGCAATAGCCACTATGACTTTTTTTTCTTATGCTTCTTTCAATTCTGTGAATATATCCAGTTCTTTTTCATTTTTGGCTTTTACACCTGCTAATGTTTTGCCTTTTTACTCTTCACTTACTTAACACTTATTCGTTCTTTAGGTTTCATTTTAAATATAAATTCTTCAGGGAAACCTTCTAAGTCAGTCTCGTGTTATTCCCTTCCATACCATCTAATCTTTTTCTTCCTATCACTTATTTTTTGAAATATTTTCTGTCTATCTCCATTATCAGATTGTAAGGGCCATGAAAGCAAAGAGTGCTGTCTGTTTGCTTGACTAGTGATTTTTTTTTTATTTTTTGCATCATGCGTAGTGCCTTGCACATAACAGGAAGTCAATAAATATTTGTTGAATCCATGAATGACTTCTGTCTTAATTTACTTGAACAACCACAAATTCAACATATACTATGTGCAAAGAAGTCACTTTGCTATGTTAGTTATGTGCTCCTGCCCTCTGGAAGACTGTTTTCCAATAGAGCCAGTAGCAGCCCAGCTTGAAGCTATCAGAAAGTCATCTTCTCCTTCTCCTAACTTGGGGAATTTCCATGCTTTATTTGACAAATAATAACCAGCAAAGTGCACATCAATAAAGAGCCACTTATTAAAAGAATGAGCAATTTAACCAAAAATATCTCAAAAAGAGACTTCTATGTTAGATTTTATAACCACATGTAAATCACAACAGTATATGGAAAAACACTTAGATCATTATATTTCATTTATTTTGCATAGTTTATCTTTCCAACAATATGGAAAACTTCTAGGAGGCAATAGTCCTAATTTCATCTCTGTATTTTTTAAATGCTTAGTATTAGTTGGACAATTTGTAGGTATTCTGTAAACACATGTTGACTTTACTGTTCAGTACTGAAAAGTAAAATAAGGATGTTCTCATTACTTATGAACTCAAATGTGAAGAGGAGTAGAGAGGCTTACATTTGAACTTCAGGCAAAATACTCAGCCACTTTCCCAACCCCCATAAAAATATTTAAAAAATGACAGATGCCTCACAAAATAAGTGGTATCCTAAATAATTTACTCATTGGTATAGCGGCAGCTCATTTCCCAGAATCTGTAATGACATTTGTTTTTTTATTTAAAGGATAAGAATACAGCAGTGCTCATGTTATCACTAGGGTAATAATTATTGTTGCAAAAAGCAGCTCCTATTCTTCTGGTTGTTTTAAATTGGGGATTCAGAGGTGTAGGAAGAAATTATAGATTATTATTCTTTGCTTCTTAAGTGATGCACTCTTTATATACAACTGAAATAATTAATAGAAATTCAATCTTCAAGTTATTGTGACATATTTTAGGAAATCAGCAGTAATTATTTCCTATCTAATTTTTATAATCATTAGTAATCAGGTAAGAGTTTATCTTGTTTTGAAAATTAAATTTTATTGAGCTTATAAACTACATTACAACAAAGAAAAATAAGGCAATTTTCTTATTACTAAATCAAAAACATTATCCAATTTTTTTTAACTGGAAGTTTTCTTCGATGAATGAATATGCAGATGGCATATGAATGGATGCCATCATATGATGAAAGGATCCATCATGAAAGGATGGATATGTAGACAAACATATGAATAAGCACCTGATATGTTTTGGATCTGTGTCCCCACCCAAATCACAGCTTGAATTGTAATAATCCCTACATGTCATGACATGGACCCTGTGGTAGGTAACTGAATCATGCAGGTAGGTTTTTCCAGGGCTGATCTTGTGATAGTGAATAAGTCTCATAATATCTGATGGTTTAATAAAGGGGAGTTCCTCTGCACATGCTCCCTCTTGCCTGCCGCCATGTAAGATGTCCCTTTGCTCTTCCTTCATCTTCTACCATGATTTTGAGGCCTCTCCAGCCATGTGGAACTGGGAATCCATTAAACCTCTTTCTTTATAAATTATGCAGTCTCGAGTATGTCTTGATTAGCAGCATGGGAACAGACTAATATAGCATTTAATAATATTCTCATCTGTATGTAACAAAATTGAAGTTATGCACCTTTCCTTGATTGATTGATATGTATATCAATCTATTCATATATATAGATTTATATATATATAGCTTATAACTTTAATTTGTCTTAATAATCATGTATCACCTATTGTTCTTGATATTGCACCACAAGGAACACAAGTGTGAAAAAGAATTCTATGAGATCTAGGGGTTCATATTCCAGCACAATGGAGGCCATATTTACAGAGACTAAGTTAAACTCCATACATTTTCCACAAACAAAATTTAACAATTTTTAAGGAAATATTATTAAAGAACGCTGAGAGCACTCCAGGTTGTCTATGCTTCTACTCATTGAAACAACTCACTCCTCCAGTAGCAGATGAGTTTTAATGAAATGCCTGGGCAATGTGAGGAAATGCTTTTTCCTTATCAGATATAACCCACAACAAATCACAAAAGGGTACTTTTTAATAGTGTTTTCAGGGAACGGGTCTACCCCTACCCTTAGGCTGACAATAATGCTTTAAGCTTTTCCTACATACATCTGCACACTTAAGAGGAAAGAATTTGGCTTATAACATTTTAAAACTCATTAATTAGGATGCCACCATTACAAGGGTTATGGCATTCAGATAATGCCTAGGCTGCCGTTTCCATTTGAGTAAAGTAATGGTAGTAAGTGAACATATACTGTCCAAGATAATAATGAATATGATTTGTTGGGTTGTTGATTATATTAAACATAAATACAAAACTGAATAGGACCTCCTAAGGGAGACCCTCAGTTATTCTGATATTGTTCTACTCATTCCCTTACCTTGGCTAATATTTTTTTTAAAACAAGCAATAAGAAAAAGATGAAAGAATCAACAATTCCTACCACATTGAGACGTGGAATCCTTGGCCTATATTACTTTTACACTCATGGAAGATGTTGCAACATAATGGAAGGGGCATGGACTTGGGCCGCAGGAAGGACTTGGTTCAAATTCTGGTCCTGACATTTCTAGTGGGGTTGCCCTATTTTTTAATCAGTAAAATTGGACTAAAACCTATCTAAGGATTAGTATAAATGTGAAATAAATGATGGATGTAAAGAGCCTACCACAGTAGTTGGCATATAATAGGTGTTCAAAAATTGTTAAATGACTCTTACATTGTAGCTGTTACAGACGTAAAATTCAATGGATAGAATAGAAACCATTTACAATGCCTTGAAAAACTCAACTACGTCAGATTTAAAAACTGATTTGTATAATCACGAAAAGGAAAAGTAGGACAATCACATTAAATATTGTATAATCAGACTTTGCAAATTCAATCTGAATTTCTTTCTAATTAGTCAAAATTAGTGAGGTATGGTTGTTGCATCTCTTAACTACTGTACCACAGGGTCCGGTCATCACCTGCTTCTATTTATGTTTGCTGTTCCCGTAAGGAATCCTCCTAGGTACAAGTCCCATTAATAGAAGCTGGAACATTGCCTAAATGAAAAATTTTATGTATTCCTTACTTCCTGAAGGAACTGCCACGGGGTCGGTCCTAATCAGCACTTCATTTTAATACAGTATCATCGAGTTCTAAGGATTAATTTTATAAACGATTAATGAAAGTACTTAATTGAATGTCACTCTCTGCTGCCTTCAGCTATTACAGGTTGTTGCTCTCACTGATTCCAGATCGATGCTTTTTTAAACACTCAGCTTTGCAGTACTTTAAACTACTTTGCAGTCTCTAAACTTCATTTAGAGACTCACCTGTGGCTCAAATAAAACAATCTGGGATTTGAGTTATTGTTGTTGTTGTTTTTGGAATGATTGTACAATGCTTGACCAGCGACAGTTCATGTTGATTTCCTCCAACAGTTCATGTTTGCTTTCCTCCATAGAAACAGAAACTCAACCGGGCATGGTGGCTCATGCCTGTAATCCCAGCACTTTGGGAGGCCGATGCGGGTGTATCACGAGGTCAGGAGTTTGAGAGCAGCCTGGCCAATGTGGTGAAACCCTGTCTCTACCAAAAATACAAAAATTAGCTGGGTGTGGTGGCGGGCGCCTATAGTCCCAGCTACTCAGGAGGTTGAGACAGGACAATCACTTAAACTTGGGAGGTGGAGGTTGCAGTGAGCCAAGAACGCGTCACTGAACTCCAGCCTGGGCGACAGAGGGAGACTCTGTCTCATAAAAAACAAAGAAAGAAAGAAAGAAAGAAAGAAAGAAAGAAAGAAAGAAAGAAAGAAAGAAAGAAAGAAAGAAAGAAAGAAAGAAAGAAAGAAAGAAAGAAAGAAAGAAAGGAAGAAAGGAAGAAAGGAAGAAAGGAAGGAAGGAAGGAAGGAAGGAAGGAAGGAAGGAAGGAAGGAAGGAAGGAAGGAAGGAAGGAAGGAAGGGAAATTCAATTTTGGGGGTTGTGGCAAACACTACAGCTAAGCTGCAAGTTCTTGCACCCTTACAAGTGGTCATGTGGCATGGCTTTCGGCCAATGAAAAGCCTGCTTAGGATTTCTGCAAAAGTTTTGCTGTCCTTTTACAGGTTTTGCCCCTTCCTCCATATTGCTTCTGTTCTTTCCTCCTGCCCAGAGCATGAAGGAAGATACAGTGCAGCAGCTATTTTTGAATTAGGAGAATGAAGACTAAGGAGACTGGAATAGAATCAAGATTAATTCAGCAGTTACCATAATAGGCAGCAGCATGGATTTGGCCCATAGACATTATTTGCTGACCCCTACTATAGACAAATGGATTAAGTTCAGCCCAGAATCAAGACAGAATAGGAAGGGAAATGATAATACAAACTGTGCAACTGCAGAAGAGGAGAAAGGGTGCAAAATACATTAAGAACACCTGTGTCCACAGCTCACTCAGTGACGGAACATCAAGTACCAAGGATATGTACAAGTTCCAGACAGTGGTTAAAGCACACTTCCTCAGGTTAAGATAAGTTCAGGAAGTGGAAAAGTTCACACTACAGCTGAGATAATTCAGTTTTGAGATAACAGGATGAGTTGGAGCTGAAACTAATGGAATGTGCCATAAAATTGTATAGAAATCAATCTTAGTTTTTTTTATCTTCTTTTTCTTCAAAGAGGGTTTGTTATAATAAAATATTCTCAGACCTCCTTCTATCCTTGTTATACTTTTTAAGACACCCTGGATGGTAGTAAATCCTTGGATTCCATTTCAGGATATAAGCAGAAAGAGATGGGAAGAGACCATGAAATCTCTCAAGAGAGAATGTCAAGAGAGGCATTATCATCATTATGGTCTCTCTTGCATGATCTCAGGTATTATGAGATAAAATACAAGTGTACTATTGCTTTGTGAATCTGAGGCTATCTGGCCTTTCTTAACATGAAATACATCATGGCATGTCTTGAAAACTTAAGCTTTGATCATGTTCAGTGAATAGAGAGGATTGAACGTTTGATCAATCTAATGAATTGAAACACAGTTCGCGAGGAACTCTGAAGACTTTTCATTCTGTCATCATTCCACTATGTGGTAAATAATAGCTAGCACATATTGATCACTTATTAGGCATCAGGCACTTTGTAGTGCGCTGTATACAGTCTACAATTGAGCGCATCTAATCTTCCAAACAGCAGTATAAGGTGTCATGACCATGCTAACTTTTCAGACAGTCTTATAGGGAAAGGGCAAGTTTCTTAACCTCAATTTGTATGAAGCACTAAGATATTTCAATGAATATTCCGGATCAAATGTGTTTCTCCTTATAATTTTTGGTGGCAAAAAAAATCTGCTGTCAAATACATAATGTACTTTTGTTTCCTAGGTTATACAGCTCTAGCTACAGTCTTGAGCCCTACACAACCCTGAAACTGGGAGTAAACAAATGTCACAAACATGACTGTATTATTCTTTAAAACATTTTATTTACAATTCAGTTTGGTGAGTAGTTGTCTTTAAAGTTTTTATTCTTTAAATATTTGCTTTTCTTTCTATTTTATAATATATCAATACTTAGGAAAATACAGTCTGAATAAATGTGTATAACTTTTCAAAATAATTTTTAAGATACCAGCAAAAATTTGGTAAAAATTGGGCAAATAATTGTTGATATAATATATTAATGCACAAGGAAGGCAACGCATAGACCATGAGAGCTCTCAGCTCTTTGTAAATGTCTTAAAAGCTACATAGGACTCATTGTTTAAGCTAATTCTATATCATTGGATAAGGAGTTATCAAAAGCTTCCAAGTACCACAATAAAATAAGTATATTAATTTATTTGTTTATTCATTCAGTAAATATTTATTGATAATTTTTAAGGATCAGACTAAACAAGATGGACCAAGTCCTGGCTTTCTCAGCACTTGCACATCAACAGACAGCTGTGTCCACAATCAGTAAGTTGAGGATGGCAGGACAGATCACCAGAGCATAAGCAAAGGTATGAGCTACACTCACAGCTAAGACACTGAACTATCTGCCCTGGGTCTAAGCAAAGGCCACAGGGTTGGTTTTCCAGAAGCTCCAAGATAGGTGCATGTATATCCAGATCCAATGTTCACAGCTTGGAACTGTAATCTTTAAAAGCTAAGTTGAGGGCTCAAGTCAAAACATTTCTCTCCCAATAAAAATCATGACTACTTGCAGAAGGAAAAGCCTGGCTATTTGGTTTTTAGGGAGTCAGGAGCACTAACCTGCTCTTTCAGCTTGCAAGCTTGCAATTCTAGGCTTCCAAGTGAAAACCAACCTGCTTATCTTGCCTCATCTAGAATTAGAGGGGTGACAGAGGAAATTGGGAAGTAGTTTTGAAAGCTGCAGTGCCTTCCTTCCTTTCCTTCTTTCTCTCTCTCTCTTTTCTTCCTTCCTTCCTTCCTCCCTCCCTCCCTTCCCCTCCCCCTCCCTCCCTCCCTCCCTCCCTTCCTTCCTTCCTTTTTCTTTCTTTCTTGACAGTCTCTCTCTGTTGCCCAGGCTGGAGTGCAGTGGCACAGTCACAGCTCACTGCAACCTCCACCTCCTGGGTTTAAACAATTCTCCTGCCTCAACCTCCTGAGTAGCTGGTATTACAGGTGCTGGCCACCATGCCTGGCTAATTTTTGTATTTTTTAGTAGAGATGGGGTTTTGCCATGTTGGCCAGGCTGGTCTGGAACTCCTGACCTCAAATGACCCAACCACCTGGGCCTCCCAAAGTGCTGGGATTACAGGCGTGAGCCACCGCACCCGGCCTAAAGCTGCAGTTTCTTTAACTTGTTATTTACTATAATGTCAGG
Organism: Homo sapiens; assembly: GCF_000001405.40. Lineage (NCBI taxonomy): Eukaryota > Metazoa > Chordata > Mammalia > Primates > Hominidae > Homo > Homo sapiens. The sequence continues at coordinate 10,355 of NT_187540.1, forward strand.
AAAGGGCAAGAATCTTGAATCTGAAATAATAATGATGACAATGGGGTTGAAAAAAAGTAAAAAGTTATTGCCTGGAGGTAAGATTATTTTTTTTAACCTAGTATTTTAAATATATTATTTTATTCTACTTTAGGTGTTAAATACATGAAGTAGTTAATTGTCAGCAATAATATAATGTAAAGTCAAAGTACAAGAAAGTCTTATGCTTTCAAGCCTTGATGTAAAAAATAATTATATGAAGTAAGTTAGGAATGAGGTGGGTAGGAAATTGAGGGTGCCTTGCTATTTTCAGCAACTGTCAGAGTGTTCGGTGCATGATACATATTTTCTGAATATTTTCAGAAAATCATTTCTGATGTGTCAGTATACTTTGAGTCTTGGAACACTTAACTGCAAAACGAAGTCGCTGTGATAGAGAAAAAGGAATATGTATATATAAATGCAGAGATATAATGAGATAGATGCACATTTACATTTTGAAAATCAGGTTTTCTTCACTGCAAAAATATGTGGGGTTCTTCTGAGGTTAATAATTATTACATAAGACCAATGATAAAACTGCATTTCTTTGTTATGAAGCCTAAGATATTAGGTGTGTTTTCATGCAATTGCATTTTAAAAACAATTCTTGCAATCATCTTATTTTGTAGTGATGTTCATGAACATACTTAATAATAGATACATTTTTTATTACAACAAAATACTACTTTAATAAAAACACCAAGTTATTTCGAAATGCACAGGAAAAGTTTCTCTCCATTGTTGTGCATGCTGAAAGACCACAGTGGGAAGCACACAGGCAGAGGGAAATCTCAGAAATATGAACTGTAACACCACACATAGCAGCATTCTGGTCTCACAAGTCAGTAGATACTTTCCCCACTAAAATTTTGTTTCAATAATTAATATAAGCTTTTTTCATCTGAAGTATCTCTAAATCAGAGAAGGTTAAAATCAATCTGTATGTATGAACTTGCTGACAAGCTAGTGTAGCCACTTGCCTTTAGGTTTTTATTATTTTCCCAGTGGCTGATGGGCAGGCAGCAGTGTTAAGCCTGCTAACTGAAACATATTCTAAATTATATGGATCTCTGGAGGGGATGCATTCTACTTAACCTTGGCGTTTGTTTTAAATTACAGGAATCTACCATATTATATTATCCAAGATTTTTAAAAATAGCTTTTATTCCTTTTCTAAATTGCATCTCAAGGTTGTTAGATTTCCTATTAAAAGCTAATTAATTAAAGAGAAAATACATACATATGTGTGAGTGTGTATATATATGTATATATACATATGTATATATATACTCTTCTACACCTGCCAGCCAGAACCAACAATAATATTGTCCCAAGCTATATAGTACCTGCTTCCAAAGAAGTTTAAAATCCATTTTAGAGAGCCAATTATTGATGTTTAAAGTCTGTAAATCATGAAGGTAGCAATACTTCTAAGTATCAAAATAAAAGCTATGAAATGCCATATCATGAATATATGCTCTCTCACTTAAACTGTTAGAATTTTCATTTTTTAAATAAATTTTATTGTATGTATTTCAGGTATACAACACGATGCTATTCCTGCTCTGTTTGCTATTCAAAATCTCCCCCTTTTGAAATAATATCACTAAAAGGACTAAAAGCAAATTGTTTGCTTAATGGGTTGACTGATTTTTAAAGACTAAAAGAGTCAAATATAGATGACACCAAAATGTGGTCCAGAACCAATAGCTTGTCTAGCCTGAAGACCGGATGAATTATTTTACCCCATTTTAGACCATTTCCATCTGTTATTTCCAACACAAATTAAATAAGTCACAAGAAGGTATCATGATCAAGGATACCTTTCTGGAGAATAGCCATGTTGATTTTAAACTAACAGAAATTTATTTGTGGGGTAAGTATGGATACTTAATAAGGAAAAACAGAAAAAAACTTTTAATAGTCCCTTATTTATTTCAGGTACTGTGTTAGCTAGGTATTTTACTTATTCCTTCTCAGCGAATACTATAAAACCCATTTATTAAGAAATTGAGGCTAGACGATGTAAAAGAAATGAATCTGGACCAATTCCTGCAAATCATGTTAGGAAGTTACAAGAAAGTAAAAAGATTCATAGTCAATCAAGTGCTGTGAATAGCCATTGAGCTCTGGAAAGCCATAGAAGCAGACACATTAGATACAGGATAGATGGTTCCTGTAGAAAGCTTTACAGAAACTGAAAAAGCCTAAAGCTACTTAAATGATGGTAACAGTAGGGTAGAGTAGTACTTAACCATATGACCTTTGGCTAGACTACTGTATTTGAATTACGGCTCTGTCACACACTAAATATATGATTATTGATAAGTTATTCACCATCTCAGTGCCTCAGTTTCCTTCTTTATAAAATTGCAATAGGACCTACTGTATAAAACCTGTGATAATTTGGTGTCAAATGCACATAAAACATAGCATAGCAATGTGTATAAAGTACACATATATCAAATGTTAGCTCTAATTATTTCTGTGAAGACAAATATATTGCTTGTGGAACACATGGGGAGATCGATGTTGTCTTTACAGACACTGCAGTGCACTAGAAGAGCATATCAGTAATATCTTGTTCTTTAAATAAATTACTAGCATTCATATGGTATTTATCCTGAACAGGGAATATGATAAAGACTTTTATGGATTTTATTTTCATTTAATTTTAATGGGATTTTGATGAATGTACTATTCCCATTTTGCAGGTGAGGAAATAAAGGTAAAGTGAATCTTAAGAAGTTGCTTGAGTCCATAGCTGTAGTGATAGTGCCCATATTGAAAACCAAATCATCTGATAAGTCCAGTTCCTGACCACTACATTATGGTGCCTTTCTAAGGGATAATGTGACACAGGTATAGAATGGTGACAATTGTAGCCATAAGTGCCCTTTCCATTTTCAGCCCTCCAGTGCTTCATGAAGTACTGTGTTCATGAGGGGCTGCTGAATGACTGCCTGTAGGACACATCTTCCCAGAGCACACACCCTGGCAGATCACAGCCCAGGAGAACCACGAGCCCATCTGAAACCTCAGAAATAGCCCAGTGCCTGCAGGGGATGGTGCTGCAGCTTCAGACAGGACCTCCATGAGGGGCAGAAGTTTGGTGAAGTATCCCTGATCACAGTCAGCTTCACATCGTAGGGCTTTGAAACATGATGCTGTCAATTCATCTTGAATTGTTCAAGGTCAAACTCAGGCATTCAATGCTGTATCGTTCCTCTCCACTCAATTCCATCCCTTTCCATTCCATCTCATTCCATTTTTTCCATTCGCTCCACTGTATTCCATTCCATTCCACTCCACTCTACTCCATTCTGCGCAAACTTATTAACTACTTACTACACTACTTAGTCTGTAAGCAAAAAGCAGCTGCTGCTCTAAAGATGAATAAAATTAGGCTTAACACAGGCTTAAATTAGGCTTAAATCAGGCTGACCAAGTTCCATTCAGTAGGCAAGTTTAAAGAGCCAAAATCTATAATTTTAATACTTTTAGCTCTAAAGCTAGAATTGGACACAGTGTTCTTCCAATGTATAGAAAAGTCTACTCAGAAGGCTTTATTTTTGAGGACTTGGAGAGAGTTAAATAAGGTATTTTCGACATATGTTTTCAATGAAGCATGAAAACTAGAAAGGTGTGTTTCACTGGCTGAGGATACTTCCCGGTAAGACTCAAGGTCTACCATCTCAAATTAGAGTTCTCTCAAAGGTGCTAAACTCTACTGATTTTTTTATGAATCGCATGTTTCTATATTTTTTTTGCCAAACTCTCCCTTCTGTAAAGAACCATGATTTAAGCTAGCAACGACAAATGAAGCATAGTTACCCTCATTTGATTTGCGGCATTTCAGACTCAACTATTTTTCTGAAACATCTATTTTATTTCAATAGAGACAAGAAGCCTGCTAGTTTCCTTAATCCTGCGTTTTAAAAACATACTTCTATATGAATTGGAGAAATGAAATGTGCTCCATAGTTTATGTTATTCCTTACTTTTGGAATGTATCCTAATCTCAGGATTCTTCATTACTCTGACTACATATTATATTTATTTCCATCCTAAGGTTTTTCAAAGATAGGCATGTGGATTATCTAGATCAACAATCCCTAAAGGGCTTTTAAAATGTCAATTCCTGGGCCCTACTCCATTCCTGAAAATCAAAATTTTGAAGCAGAAATCTGAGTCTCCAAATCATCTCCCTTGGTATATCTCACCTTCTATCTCCCTTTGCAATCACAAGACAGTGACCAGGTCCAGTGATGATATCATGGGCTGTCTGTCACCTGCCTGACAGTGATTCCTGGAGACTCTCACCCAAACAAACTCTCACAGAAACTAGGCAACGTAAGAGACAGGAAGGTTCAGCTGGGGAGGCTTCATTGCGTCAGGAATGCCTTATATAATTCCAGAAGGTCAACAAGAGAAAACCAGGCCAACAGAGCATAAATGTCAACATTTATGGGCCCAGCTGGTGTCCTGCTGAGGCTACGTATTTGAGATTTTGCAAGCCAGGCAATATTGCAAGTTAACATGCTGTATAGATTCTGATTCTGCAGGAAAATTCTCCTTCAGTGTTGCATAGTTGCATTTACTAATTCTGCTTTCTTAGTATTTTGTGTATTTGTTTTACTTTGTATTTTAAGTTTCAGCTAAACAAATGACAAGTAACCAAAATACGAATGAAAGGACTATTTCCTATGCAGCTACTGTGTTTACATATATTACCTCATTTAATATGGTTAACACGTCAGGGCACGGTGGCTCAAGCCTGTAATCTCAGCACTTTGGGAGGCCAAGGCAGGCAGATCGCTTGAGGCCAGGACTTCGAGAACAGTCTGGCCAACATTGCAAAACCCTGTCTTTACTAAAAATACAAAAAATATAGCTGGGTGTGGTGGTGCGTATCTGTAATCTCAGCTACTCAGAAGGCTGAGAAATGAGAATCGCTTGAACTCAGGAAACAAGGGTTGCAGTGAGCCGAGATCACGCCACTGCACTCCAGCCTGGCTGACAGGATGAGACTCTGTTTCAAAAAAAAAAAAAGTAACACTTTGAGAATAGGTTCTTATTATCTCTATATTAAAAAATAAAGCAAACAAAACGAACAGTGGATAATTACTTACCCAAAGTTAATAAATCTTAGCATTGGATCTTGAGCCCTGTTTCTTTCAAAGCCAAAATCTATATTTTATTCTATTACACTCTGCTGTTTCCAAAACAGGCCAAATAATTTCTACCCCTCAAACATTTACCAGTGGCAGAAAACAACTATGAAATCACACTGAGGCCATAAAGTAATAAGAGGAAATTTCTATAAAGCCACACAACCATCTCATTTCCCTGTGGCCACACTTTACATTCATTCAATGAAGAATCAGGATCTACACTGCACCACACATTGGGGGCTGAATAAGCACAGACATACCTGGTAATCTTTGATTTCTCAGACTCTACAGGAGATCAAGGTTCTGGCAAATGTAGAAGTACCTCAAACCTTTCTGGTCATTTTCAAACTTAAATTCTGTATACAGTACAAGCATACTGTTGAGGGTGGCTTTAATGTGTAAAACTGCTGCTTATGGATAGTGGCGATGGGTGATGTTGCCACACCTCATCACTGCATGCCATTTAATACCTTTTATCCATTAAAGTTCAGGCCACCACATCAGCACTACAATATTTTAAATCCTTATATCTGAAAGTACAGGAACCTCTCCACTTTTCTGTGTGTATAATGTAGCCCTTGGCACATTGCGGAAAACAAAAACAAAGAAAAAATACAAAAAAATATCACCATCTGTACTGGGTTGAATAGTGTTCCTTAAAATTTCGTGTCTACTTGGAATTTGTGAATATAACCTTATTTGGAAATAGAGTCTTTGCAAATATAATCAAGTCAAGATTAAGTCATACTGTATTAGAGAGGGCCCTGAACCCAATCTGACTTGTGTCCTTATCATCCTTACAAGAAGAGGGAAATTGACCTGGCGCAGTAGCTCACGCCTGTAATCCCTGAACTTTGGGAGGCCAAGGCGGCCGGATCACGAGGTCAGGAGATCGAGACCATCCTGGTCAACATGATGAAACCCCATCTCTACTAAAAATACAAGAATTAGCTGGGCTTGGTGGCACATGCCTGTAATCCCAGCTACTCGGGAGGCTGAGTCAGAAGAATAGCTTGAACCAGGGAGGCGGAGGTTGAAGTAAGCCGAGATTGCACCACTGTACTCCAGCCTAGGTGACAGAGTGAGATTCCGTCTCAAAAAAAAAAAAAAAAAAAAAAAAAAAAGACAAGGGAAATTTGGAGATGGAGATACAGATAATGAAAAGAAGGGCATGAACAGATGGAGGCAGAGATTGGAGCGATGCATTTATAAGCCTAAGAATGCTAAGGATTACCACCAACCATCAGAAGCTAGAAGAGATAAGAAAGGAGACTTCTACAGCATGTTTAGAAGTAGTATGTCCCACCAACACCTTGATCTTAGACTTCTAGTCTCCAGAAGTGTCAGATAGTAAATTTCTATTGTTTTAAACCACACAGTTTGTGATACTTTGTTATGGTCACCCTAGGAAACTAACACACCATCCATAAATATCCATGTACCACATGCAAGGTGCTATGCTCAGCGTTGAGAATATGGAACAATGGAGAGGTATACCTGGAATCTGGGACACGTATCAGTGTCTATAGACATAGAGGAGGAAGGTAAAAGAGTGTTCCACTTCATTTTAACTCCAGTGTGTTGCTTCTTTTCTAAGGAGCCACAGACAATGACTTCTCATCCTCCTCTTCCTCATTATTCCTTGGCTTACAAGCTAATGCATACATCATGGGGTTCCCAGTATTTCCTTTTCCCCCCAATATTTTATGCCCCATGCTTGTGTTTATATTGTGATATAATAAAATGGCACGAAGTAGAAACACACCCTTCACATGGAGCACACATTACCCAGTGGTTTTATTAAGACTTGTGTTTCGGCATCTGAGCTATGTGAAATCTCACTCAAGGCTCTGTAATGCCGGTATGTTCTCTATATGAATGTGGCACGACTGAAAACATAAAACTGTTATCACAAAACTGTTACATACATTGTAAAACAAACAGCTCTCTGATGTGGTTTGGCTCTGTGTCCCCACCCAAATCTCATCTCAAATTGTAATCCCTGTGTGTCAAGGGAGAGACCTGGTGGGAAGTGACTGGATCGTAGGAGTGGATTCTCCATGCTGTTCTCCTGACGGTGAATGACTTCTCACAAGATCTGATGGCTTAAAAGTGGCAGTTTCCCCTTTGCTCTCTCTCGCTCCTGCCGCCTTGTGAAGCAAGGACTTGCTTCTCCTTCTGCCATGATTGTAAGTTTCCTGAGGCCTCTCCAGCCATGCAGAACTGTGAGTCAATTAAATCTCTTTTATTTATAAATTACCCAGTCTCAGGCAATTCTTTATAACGTGTGAAAATGAACTAATACACTCTCAAAATCCATCCAATGCATAAAAGCACCATTTGAACTGCCACAAATGCAATAAGGCCTCTGAAGTTTTCTAGTTCCACCCTTTCCATCACCTCAGCTAAAGTATCTTCTCCTAAACTCCAGGACCTCCTTTTGTAAGAGTGAGAATTCCTAAATTAAAATAACCAACAGAAAGTGCCAAAGAAGGAAGGGAGAAAGGGAGGGTGGGATGGAAACAAAATTGATGAGTGCAGTTGTAAGTTTCAGGGATTCTTTACATTCCTAACATTGGTTTATTTGGTATTATAAATTAAGAAAATTTAAAAATTATCCATAATGCCCAATGACTTTGTTTACAGATTTGTATCAGATCTTACAGGAAATGGATCACTGAAATAGTCATGTCCAGATTGAGCTGACATTTACTGAGTTCCCCTTCCACTTCAAACTCAGTGTCAGATACCATTTTATATGCTGTGTAAGAATTCTTTTGTGAGGCCGGGCACAGTGGCTCACGTTTGTAATCCCAGCACTTTGGGAGGCCCAGGCAGGCGGATCCCGAGGTCAGGAGTATAAGACCAGCCTGGCCAACACAGTGAAACCCCGTTTCTACTAAAAGTACACAAATTAGCTGGGCATGGTGGCGGGCACCTGTAATCCCAGCTACTCGGAAGGCTGAAGCAGGAGAATCGCTTGAACCGGGAGGTGGCAGTTGCAGTGAGCTGAGATTGTGCCATTGCACTCCAGCTTGGGCAACAGAGCTAGACTCCTTCTCAAAAACAAACAAACAAACAGACAAAAAAAAAAAAAAAGAATTATTTTGTGCTTATTTACACAAGCTCAAATAGGAGTGAACAAAGTTTTATTAGCTTGTATGTAGTCACGCATTATTATAACCAATATTAATACTGGGTCTTAAACTTAATTAGGCCTTCAGATTTGAAAATCTCAATATTTCTTTCTACTAAACCATGTGGCCTCACCAAATATATTTCTGTATGAATCCTAGAGCACATGTTATCTTGGGAGGAGTCTGTTTTTTGCTTTTACAAAACAGTCATATTGCCAAATATTTAAAAGAAGAAGTTCTACAATTTATAGTATACGGTCACACTGTCACCTGACAACCTTTAATAACAAAAATAGACAACCTTACATGTACATAGATAACATTTCAGCAACAGTTTTCTAACAGTGAGCCACAGCTAAAATTGTGAGCATGGGTACTTCAGCATGAAGGCTCAAATCAGGAGAATACGTACAAGAGAGAGGCTCATGAGAATTTAACCTTACCTTGCATTTCCCCTAAAAACAATGGCTCTGGATTCACCAATTCAGTGTTCAAGATGACTTTATAAAATATAACTACCCTAAATAATGATGATTCACTGTACTTTATCTTACTCTTAAACATGTACAAATTTTAGTAGCTTATGAAAGGATCAAGGTAACTCCTGTAGAAAGAAAAACTAGTTTAATCTTGTTTGATCCATTATTTACCAAACGTTTTTGACTACAGATCTAACTTATAAAGAATACATATTATCACCTCACAGGACAGGAATGCATTGTTTGGAGGCCCTGCTGTAGGTGTTCAGAGGTTTTTTCAGTCCTTCTTTTGAGGCCACATGATCTATTATTTAGAGTGTTTTAAAGCATCACTCATGACCATAAATCAAGAGATGAGGCCTGGCACGGTGGCTCACGCCTGTAATCCCAGCACTTTGGGAGGCCGAGGTGGGTGGATCACCTGAGGTCAGGGGTTTGAGACCAGCCTGTCCAACATGGTGAAACATCATCTCTACTAAAAATACAAAAATTTGCCAGGCATGGTGGCGCATGCCTGTAATCCCAGCTACTTGGGAGGCTGAGGTGGGAGAATTGCTTGAATCCAGGAGACAGAGGTTGCAGCTGGCCGAGACTGTGCCATTGCACTCCAGCCTGAGCAACAGAGTGAGACTCCATCACAAAAGAAAACAAAAAAAAAAAAAAAAAGAGAGAGAGAGAGAGATGAAAAAATTACAGAGATCCTAAGACATCTCTCATCCACTTGGCTATCAATATCAACCTGAGTTGGTACTGCAGTCTGATAAAATTCCCAACTTGTTCTTTGATTAGTAGTGCTTCAGCCTTATCCCAATTTATTGACATTCCTATGCTGATAAACCTACTCTTACCCTTTTCCTTTCCCTGAGGGAATGTTTATTCTAGTCTTAAACTTGAGCCAGGCAGTCAGGCTCTGGGAGTGAGTGGAGAGTTCACTGTATAAAAGAATGTCAAAGGTAACCTTTAAGGAACGCTGTGCCACCTCCAGAGTCAGATTTATAGTGAAGTTAACGAAGCTTAGGCTTCAGACCCCTCCACTGCACAGTCCAGTATCCTACCCAATAAATTCTAGCAAAATGTTCAAGTCATATAGTCTTATAAGCTTTCTATTTATTTCTTTTCTTTTCTTTTCAAGACAGGGTCTCACTCTGTCACCCACACTGGAGTGCAGTGGCATAATCACCCTCACTGTAGCTTTGACTTCCTGGGCTCAAGTGATCCTCCTGTATAAGCCTCCTGGGTAGCTAGGAACACAGGCACCTGCCACCAGGCTCAGCTACTTTTAAAATTTTTTTGTAGAGATGGAGTCTCCTTATGTTGCTCAGGCTCATCTTCAACTCCTGGGCTCAAGCAATCCTCCAACCTCAGCCTCCAAAAATGCTAGGATTACAGGCATGAGCCACCAAGCCCCGCCTAATTTTCTAATATTTAGAAAGTAAGATAGTTTAACTATAATTAGTTAATACTGCTCCTTTTCTGCTACAAGTTTTCTATGGCACGCTTTCTTTCATATCTTTTAGACTTGAAGGCAACTGTGGACATTTTTAGAATGCAGCTAAGTAAGAGAACATGTAGTTTTATTTATGGGTTCATAGCTTTTTATGTACAGTCAGGTTATGGATGAGTGTCCTAGGGTAGGAATGGCTTCCACAGATGTGTCTACCACCCAATGTGCCAACTCATCTAGTGTCATAATTCAAAGGCGACCCAAAAGTGAAATGAGCATCACTGGAAGTCCCCAACTCTGGAAGAACAGGAATAGTGGATGGACTGCTCATTTCAAAGTCAGTTAAGCCTAATAACTTAGAGTCAAAAATATTTTAAGGCTTCAAAAATATATTTTTAAAGACTTGAAAAAATAACTCAAATAAAATCGAGCTTGAAAATATTCAAAAGCTTGAGAAAGCTCAAATATATCATTTTAATTACAATTTATAAACATGTTTTAAAATTTCAATAAAATAGCGAAAAATATAAAGCTCTTGATTAGGACGTTATGAAATTACCTTTATTGATATTTATAAAGCAAGTTATTAAAGAAGTGTGGTAGAATTTAGATTAAAGTAATAATACAATGTAAAACAAAAGTGATCAAAATAAAAAGTGAAATTGTGAACTTACGAATTACGTTGCATGAAGAAGAAAGTTGTAATAGCATCAAATATATATAAAAATATATATATAAATATATGGAACACACCAAAAGAAACAATCATTAGTACAAGAGAGAGAAATTTTTACAAGAAGTAATGAAGAAGCTCTTGGATTCAGAATAGTGAATCTAAGTAACAAAGAGGAATAAATAATGAATCAAATAATTACATTAAAAATTAATTTCATGTTGAAATGAAACAAAGTACTAACATTTATTAAAATAACAAAATGCAATACACCACCAAAATGAGACTATCAGAAGTAAACTGTTCAATGAATACTGTCAATTCAATGATGATTTTAAATTAATGTACAACAAAGCTTAAAATGTCATGAAATATTACAACTTACGTTACTAAAGGAAATCAATAGACATTCCCAAATTTGACAACAATCCTAAAAATGTATATAATATTACAAATAATGAATTATGAAGTAAAATAAAGCTTTCCTATTGACAATAAAAAATAAATGTTTATCAACTCTGTGATAAGCCTGAATTATTTTTCTATCTTCTATACTAAAAGTAGTGCAAAATCATTCAACTTTATGCAAGCAAGAACCAGGAAAACTATCACACAGATCTATAAGGCAGCTATTTTATTTTAGAATGTTACTCTTTTAATTTTTTCATATGTATATCATTTGTCAGTTTTCTAAAAACTGTAATTTCAAAATTGATCATTCCTAATCCTAACTATTCATTTTTACACTTAGTTTTATATTTTAAGCATGTATTTTTTTTTCATAAGAGAATCCTAAAACTGTGTAATCTCTGGACCCCATGAAACCTAAATTTGCTCTACAATAGAGGTATTAGATGATGTAAGTAAACTTCAAAGCCAATTCAAAAACAGGGACCTAATACTGTTTATGTTGTTTGCTTTGTTGTAGCTAATATGTCAGCTGTGAAAATAAGTAATTCAAAATTTAAGCTGCTGGAACTTTAAAATATTTTGAGCTTAAAGGGAATGTGAACTAAATCTCATAAGCAGACAGTTGTAAAGTCAGCAGGTGTAACCTTTGTTTCTCCGATTACAGATTAGCCTTTTCCTTACCTACATTGTCTTGTAAAATGTTGCAAATGACTAAAGGGTGCCAGGGAAGAAGACCTTTTTCCTTTTAAGTGTTGATTTTCATTATAGATTACCTTCCATCTTTCTTCTCTCACACATACTTCATGACTACCGCATTGTCTACGATGGAATGTTAAATATACTCTTAAATTGGAAAGGAAATAAAAATAACCTTTATGGATAAGAAAACGAACCATAATTTATTAAATTGTTGTGACTCCTAAACTAGCCTTGTACAAAAAATGTTATAATACTGTTAAATTGATTTATTTTCTGCCTATATAAGCAAGACCTTAACTTTTAACATCTGAGTACTGATCCCATTTCTCTGGAGTTCATATTTTCCGGATGGTCTTTCCCAGCTTTTTGCATGAATAAACTCTTCAAACCTGGATTCTGGTCCTTTCAATTATTTCAGGCTGACATAGCATTGAAAAATAGAGTACCACTGACCTAGAGTCAGCCTATGAGAAATTCTCTCTCTGTCTCTTTCTCTCTCTCTCTCTCTCTCTCACACACACACACAAACACATACATAAAAAATTTAAGACATTGTATTAACTTTATAGCTCCACATAACAAATTACCAAAAATTGAGTAGTTTAAAATAAGTATCTATTTATTATCTCACAGTTCTGTAGGTTGGACGTCTGGACACACTTGACTGGGTTCTCTGCTGAGAATCTCACAGGCTGAAATCCAAGTATAGCTGGCTGGGCTCTTATCTGGAAGTTCCAAGGACTAATCCACTTTCATGCTCATTCTGGTTGTTGGCAGAAGCCAATTCCTTGACATTGTAGGTCTGAGGTCACAATTGCATTGCTAGCTGTCAAACCGGGTGCTGCTCTCTGCAACCAGAGGCTGCCCTGCATTCCTTCTCACACAGAGCCTCCATCTTCAAACCTTCAAGTGCATCAAGTCCTTTGCAAAACCCTTAGTTCTGGGAATTGCCCACCCTTTTCCTGGAAAACTCATGAATAATTCACCTCTTGTTTAATGTGTAATCAAGAATCATAAAAATGGGCAACCAGCAGCTGTTGGGGCTGTTCTGCCCATGGAGTAGCCATTCTTTTATTCCTTTACTTTCATAATAAACTTGCTTCAAATCTTTCTGGCTTGTTCTTCTGCCACTGGTTGGAGAAAGCTTTATACTTTTAAGTTGTCGGAGGCATTTGAACTAGAACGACTCCATCTTGAATAGGGGCTGGGTAAAATAAGGCTGAGATCTGCTGGGCTGCATTCCCAGGAGGTTAGGCATTCTAAGTCACAGGATGAAATAGGAGGTCAGCACAAGATATACATCAAAACCCACCAAAAGCAAGATAGCAAGGAGAGTGACCTCTGGTCGTCCTCACTGCTCATTATACGCTAATTATAATGGATTAGCATGTTAAAAGACACTCCCATGACAGTTTACAAATGTCATGACAATGTCAGGAAGTTACCCTACATGGTCTAAAAAGGGGAGGAACACTCAGTTCTGGGAATTAACCACCCCTTTCCTGGAAAACTCATTAATAATCCACCCCTTGGATAACATGTAATCAAGAACCATAAAAAAGGGCAATCAGCAGCCCTCGGGGCTGCTCTGCCCATGGAGTAGCCATTCTTTTATTCCTTTACTTTCTTTTTTTATTATTATTACACTTTAAGTTCTGGGTTACATGTGCAGAACGTGCAGTTTTATTACATGGCTATACACGTGCCATGGTGGTTTGCTGCACCCATCAACCTGTCACCTACATTAGGTATTTGTCCTAATGCTCTCCCTCCCCTAGCCCCCAAACCCACGACAGGCCCGGTGAGAGATATTCCCCTCCCTGTGTCCATGTGTTCTCATTGTTCAACTCCCACTTATGAGGGAGAACACGTAGTGTTTGGTTTTCTGTTCCTGTGTTAGTTTGCTGAGAATGATGGTTTCCAGCTTCATCCATATCCCTGCAAAGGACATGAACTCATCCTTTTTTATGGCTGCATAGTATTCCATGGTGTATATGTGCCCATTTTCTTTATTCAGTCTATCACTGATGGACATTTGGGTTGGTTCCAAGTCTTTGCTATTGTGAATAGTGCTGCAATAAACATACGTGTGCGTGTGTCTTTATGGTAGAATGATTTATAATCTCTAAGGTATATACCCAGTAATGGGATTGCTGGGTCAAATGGTATTTCTAGTTCTAGATCCTTCAGGAATTGCCACACTGTCTTCCACAATGGTTGAACTAATGTACACTCCCACCAACACTTGCTTTCACTTTACTCTATGGACTTGCCTTGAATTCTTTCTTATGCGAGACCTAAGAACCCTTTATTGGGGTTTTGATCAGGATCTCTTCTTGGATAATAAAGGAATTATAGGACTAGATTTAATCACAAGATTAGATTAGACCCACTCACATAATTTTGCTATTTGAAGGTCAATCATTGGGGACCTATAATCATAGCAATGACATTTCACCATATTCTTAGGTTCTACCCACAATTATTTTGCAAGGGTGAGGGGTTATTGGGGGCCATTCTTAGAATTCTTAGAATTCTCACAGACTTTCTATCAGGATTACAAGATTTATATTGAATGGGTAGTCTAAACTAAGGAAAAGCAAAAAGTTGACTCTTCACAGGGAGTTTGAGCCCTAGTTCATATAAAGCAAAGAAAATAAATCAGAGATAGCAAGAGACCAAGACAGATAGATGTAATTCGAAGAGAGAGAAACAGAAACTAACTTGCCATGAACCGAAAGATTGTATATTCTTTTTCCTCTCTGATTCACTAATGTATGCTTTCTAGGAGAAGACATAACATATTCTAAAATGTTTGTTTTTCTTAAAAGGTATTTGCATTTCCTAATTGGCATATTATTTCATAATTATACTCATACTAAATCTGAATGTTTGAGCCATTCTTATGTCTTCCTTCCATGATAAGTTGTTTATGTTGTGGAATGTCTGAGTCTATAATTAAATTATTGTCTCTAACAAGTTAACCATATCCATGCATACATTAACATATCATTATAATGTGGGAAAACATAGATGTGTACCATAGAACATCAAGCTGAATGGGGCTCTGCAGATCTGGGTTGACGTTTCTGGTAACTGGTCTCCATTCTGGAGGTTTCAAGGGGCAGAACTAAAAACTCCAGAAGAAAGAGAAAATTTATTCTTATCTGAAATAAAGAGAAGGTATGATAATAGGAAATGTTATTTTACAAATATCTACTCCAATTTCTCTTCCTTTCTACCACGGAAAAAAATATTTCCTCATCACATTCATATTGCTGGGTTTGGCTTGGCTCTTGTGCTGTGGTGATCCACTGTGATCAAACCATGCCCCTGAGACTGGGCACTAGGACAAATGAATGTGGAGTAGAAATGCCAAAATCTGCTGTTCAACTGAGTCTCCCAGCAGAACCCAGTCTAGATCAGCTGAACCAAGTCACATACAGACCTGTGAATCTGAAGATAAATACTTGGAATTGCAAGCCCACTGTGTTTTGGGACAGTTTGTTACACAGCATTGATGCAGCCATAGCTGACTAATACAACAAAGAAAAGAAGGAAAAAATCTTCAGATACAGAATTATGTTTAAATTTAATTAAACTAAATATATACATATTTATGTCTGTACATTTATAGATTATATCTATATATATGACACATGCACTTTTTAAAAATAGCTCCTTTGGCAGAGTTTTGTGTTAATATTTTCATTAAAAGAGGCTCTTATATGATAATATTGCTCACAATGAAATGTAACAACTGTGTAGCTGGAAGCATTATCTCTCCTCTTTGGGCAACAGTCCCTGTAGTCTCTTGGTTATTCAGAATTTTAAAGGGACCATATTACCCTATAAACTTAAGCATATGCACAAAACTGCTTTTGGGGAAGGCTACGATTTCTAAACAATCTCAGATACATAAGGCCGAATGTCTGTTATCTGAAACGCTTGAGACTACAAGTGTTTTAGATTTCAGATTTTTTTTGGATTTTGGAATATTTGCATACGTATTTGCAGATAGAAGCTATTTTATAGCTTGGGGATGAGTTCCAAGCCTAAATCTAAAATTTGTTTATGTTTCATATATACCTTATACGTATAGCCTGAAGGTGACTTTATAAAATATTTTAATAATTTTGCGCCTGAAACAAAGTTTGTGTACACTGAACCATCAGAAAGCAAAGGTGTCCCAATCTCAACCACCCATGTGGACAATCTGTGGTTGTTTGGCATCATTATCATTCCTGACTCTGAATTTATATGCTATTAATAAGCATTTATTTTCTTACATTTATTCACACATAAGTACTTAACAGTAAAATATATGGCATATTGTTAATGCAGTGAAAACATAATATGTTCAGGGTAACCAAGGAGCACAGCAGTGTCACCAGAATACCTGTTATCTGTTTAAAAACACCAGCAATCAAAAATGGCAAGTCTTCACTTATTCAAAAATGTTTATATTCTGCAGCATTTCGGATCTTAAGTTTTCAGATTATGGATATTCAACTTGTAGTACATTTAATTTTGTGATTTCTTTTGTTAAATA
Source organism: Homo sapiens (assembly GCF_000001405.40). Taxonomy (NCBI): domain Eukaryota; kingdom Metazoa; phylum Chordata; class Mammalia; order Primates; family Hominidae; genus Homo; species Homo sapiens. The sequence continues at coordinate 26,945 of NT_187540.1, forward strand.
AAAAGAAAAATCCTTGCAGATTATATGAAGGTCAGAACTGTCTCTTTGCATCAATAAAACATCAAAAGAAAAAGAGGACCACTGGGATGGGAAGAACACTTCCAATGCACTACTGAAAACAATGTAAATGGTTGGGAAAGTTGGCCACAAAGTCTTCTATTTCAATAGTTGTAATAACACATCACTGTTGCATATAAAATGTATCTGCAAATATGTCTATAATGACTGCTGATCATAAGATTTCTTGTTCTATTCACTCTGAAGTCTAAAAAAAAAAAGCAAACTATCTACATAATCCAATTGAATACTCATTACATAAAGTGCTAATAATGTATACCTTCTCATATACAAAAAAAAAATGGATGGTTTAAAATTGCTTAGATCACAAGAGCCAATTACTTGGGCAGAATGGGGAAGGTGATATGAATGCATAAATCTTACATATATGCCTTACCATGGAGGGATAGCTTATATGCATGTGGTTGAAATGAGGAAACCCTCTCTCACCTATAAATTATAATTTAAGCATTCTGTAAAAATTTAAATTCATACTTAAGATTCAAATTATTTTTTCCATACAGAGCAGGGTTTCTCAATTGCCACACTACTGATATTTGGGACTGGGTAATTCTTCACTGTGGGGAATGACATACTCATGATAAGATGCTTAGAAGAATCTCTGGCCTCCACCTACTAGATGCTAGAAGCAGTCCCCTAGTCTGGAGTTGGGACTATCAAAAATGGAGACCAGGCCAAATGTCCCCTGGGGCCAAAAGCACTCCTAGTTGAGAAGCAATGGTCTCTAGAAATACCATGCAGTACATTCCTTCTTCCAATAATAGATGCTAATCACAAGCACACAAGATAGCCACAATTATATGATGTTTACTACTTGCCAGACACATAGTAGCTCATTTTAATTTTCACAAAAGTCAAATGACCTATATACCATAACTACCTGATACAATTTGGATGCTTGTCCCCTCCAAATCTCATGTTGAAATGTGATCCCCCATGGTGAATGTGGGGCCTGGTGGGAGGGGTTTTGGTCATGGGGTGGATCCCTCACGAATGGCTCAATAACCTCCCCATAGTAATGAGTGAATTCTCACTCTATTACTTACTGTGACATCTGGTTGTTTAAAAGAGCCTGACATTTCTCTTGCTCCCTCTCTCATCATATGACATGCCTGCTCCCCCTTTGCTTTAAATAAAAGCTTCCTTAGGCCTCACTAGAAGCCAAGCAGATGCTGGTACCATGTCTCCCATACAGCCTGCAGAACTGTGACCCAACTAAACATTTTTATTTTTTAAAATAAATTACCCAGCCCCAGCAATTCCTTTATAACAATCCAAAATGGGCTAATACACTACTTCTATGTTACTAATGATGAGACTGAGTCATAGAGAAGTGACTTGTTCAGACAGTAAAGGGAGCCTGGATTTGAAAAAGGGCAGTGGGGCATAGAAGGATAAAGTCCTAAATGAGATTAACTTTGGGACAATTGGATTCCAGAGAGACTGGATACATGGGTAGTATATCCTATAGAACCCTCTGCTCACATGTTAAATCTGGGAGCTGAGCTAGATTTCAGAAGTCCCTTCCACTACTAACAATCTGTAAGTCTGTAAATTGTAGACAAATCTATTTGGTTAGATTTATTCCAATAAAAGCAAGCTGACCACATGTCAGATAAGGTCCAGCTACAGCATAATGGCATGATGGCAGCCTTCCATCTTCACTGATTTAAATTCGTGCTGTTTTAGTGCATATAACCCCCTTAGATTTGTCTGCTATGAGAAAATTCTGCAAGGAAGAGAAGGCTGCTTACAAAACAGTCTTTCAAATTTCTCCATGGATCTCATTGGCAGGTCTTCAAGGTCAGGACCAATCACAGACATGGCTGGAGAATGCCCATAAACTCTTCCTCCTCTAATAGCCAATGGGAGAAAGGGATTAACTGCTGGTCAGATGACTGTGACTATTAACATTGGAAGCAATTCTGTGCTTGAAAACTTGATCAGTCAAAGAGGGTAAACTACATTAATAATGGGCACTGGAAGGAGGGAGCTCTTTTTCACCGAAGTCCCCATGGTCACAACAAATTAGATTAGAGTGCCTGAGAATATGCTAAATTCATAGCCTCATCGAAAATTTCTCTTTAGTACTTTATCTGTCGCTAGTCTCTCTTCTCTTGCAATGGGTCATTTCAGCTGCTGCTAAAACCAGCTTTCTATTACAGTTTCTCCTCATGTCATACAATTCCTTAAAGGCTGATAGCATCATCGGTCCCTGATTCTTGTCCATTTAACCTCCCTACCCATAGATACAATCCAAGACTGGTACTCATAAATTCCAAAGGAAAAATAAAGCTGCATATTGCTACCTCTATGACAGGTTACTTTTGGGGAATAGAAGATTCCAGGACAGCTATTTCCTGTGTTTATTGATTATGAATCTTGAAGAAAGAAATTTTGTGTGAGCATAACATATACATAAATTTTAAAATTTCAAAAAAACCACAGTTCTCAATCTTTTGAATCTGCCAAAGCCAGCATGACACAGTGCCATGCCTAATTTCAGAGAGTACCTCCTCTCTCCCCTTCCGTAGTCAGTTGTATTATCATCCTTTAAAACGCTTTAGAGGGTCACTTACGGTCACTCATGGCATATTCAGATAGTTTGTAATCCAATTACATTCTTGAAGATTTAAAGAACCAGAAACAAACAAAAACATGCAAACATGAGCTACAGTTTTTATTGTATGTGTCTATATATAAGAGAGAAAAATGGAGATAGACGTAGATATATGTGAATAAATTGCTGCATATAAAAACATTAGTTAATATAAAAAACAGAAAATAAATATCTTTTTACTTCTTTATTTTAAATGCTAAAAACTTCCTTATAAGGGCATCATTATATTTGGAAAACATATAAACCCATTTAGATTATTCAAAAGGAATACAGTGATACAAATAATAAAACTGACAAGATATCTAATTGGAATTCTTTTGGTTCTTTCAGTTTACAGTGATAAATTTTACCACACTGAATAACTGTAATTTCTACCTGTGCCAAATCTATAGCCAGTCTCATATCTTCTTGCCACTACAATACTAGAAACTTTCCCTGATGAATTATTAAATGATCTTTGAAGTTGCTACAGTTCATAGAAATGTGACAGTCCAATGTGTCTTAGTGCTGTGAACTGTTACCAAAAAGACTAAACATCCTTGACAGCCTGATAAAAAATTAATTATTCTCCTTCCAATGGAAAGAATGCAACTCTGCCAAAACCTGTTAAATGTGGAGCTTTTAGAGTTCTCAATTTCTTCTCTCTTGGAGAGGGCACATTATAATTTTTCATGAGGATTAAATAGCACATGTGAAATATCTAACCTTGCCTAGTATCCACTGGATCTTTAGACCTTAGTTCCTTTTCCTACCTTAGAATTTTTGTTCCCCTAACCGCACTATACTAAATGCCAATGCATATTAGAATAGAGGTGGCAGTGCAAAATAGAAGAATAAAAGAAATATTGTATTATTGCGAGAAAGGATACCAGTGAAGAGATGTTTACTTCAGATACAGTAAAATATTCAAATACTCCAAGCAAGTTTTTCCCCAGTGAGCCTCTGTTTCTGCCTATGTAGACATCATTCGACCTGTCCAGTTATATCTAGGTTATTGTGAAGATTGAAAAAACAAGGGAGAGCTTTTTTTAAAAAAAAAAAAAACAAAAAACAACAACAAAAAAAAACCTTTGTGTTACAATATATAGATCTTATTTTCAACAGCGATTAGGTAATGGAATTAGTGCAGTAAAGTTTTATTAATGAATGCTGTAATTAGAAAATGTTAATTCAATATTTGCTTCCCCAGGTTACATTCATTTGGAAAAAAATGCATTAATCTTACCATTTAGTGATAACTCTTTCAGTTCAACCTACAGACACAAGATCTTGAAATGAAACTGTTGATTAATTTATTTACTCAGTAAAGATGCTACTGGATACAATAGAAATACAAGTCATAAATGTTTTGCAAACAATGATAGTAATGAAAGATATTAGTCTTTTTCCTTAGAAATTAACTTAGTGGATTGAGACAGTTTACCAGTCTTGCCTTACAAGAACTATTTTAAGCACCTAAAAAGTAATCATCCCAAGAGAAAATATAGAGTGCAAAGAGCACTTTGCTATTTCCTCCTGTTATTACAAAGCATAATAAATCCCTACTCTGGACTATTTCTTGCCTGTATCCTGATTAGATATACCCATAAAGTTTGAAAATGTCTGCAACTGAGAATACTTTTATTTATAAAGCGGGATAGAGGTTGAGGAGGATGTAGAGAACAGATTGTTATCTGTACTTGTCACAGCAAAGCATATTTTTTTAATACTTAGTTTTTTAGGCTTCTGTTGGCAGATTGACCTTTCTTGAGAGTAGCTTATCTTGCTGTAGAGCAATATTCCCAGACCTCCTGGGGTTCACAAAGTTAAGAAGAAGGAGCATCAGGAAATAAAGAAGACAAGAAAGCAAAACAGAAAAGTAAAATAAAATTTCTGCTGAGTTAAAGTAGGGTGTAAAAGAGCCATGGAAATTCCAAAGGTTGTTTTAGAACCTCCTATTTCACATCCTACTCAGCTGTCCAGAAGAGAAAGCAGCAAAAACACTCAGACTCTTGGGGAAACAAGCATTAGGTGGTGGCCAGTGGGGGTTGAGGGGGGAGTCTCTCTTAAAAGGGTGAAGAAAGCACAGATGAAAAGGGCCAGGCAATGCAGACTAGTTGTAAAAGCCTAGAAAATAACATCTGAAAGCTTAAAGGGGGGGGTCATAAAAGAGTTGGAATAACAAGTTGTGAGCACAGATCAGTGTAGTCTGAGAGTTGTTTATTGCAGAAAGATCAGAAACGTTCAAGTGAACCATAGCAAACTTCAAACTGCCATTCACTTCTCTCACTAGGTTTGTGTTAATCTCCGTTCCGTAAATTGAAATCAATGACAGCAGCCTGGCAGAGGCGTTGAGAGAATTGAATGTGATAATATGTATAAAAATACCGGCTGTAATAATTGCATATCTTACACTCCCGATGGAGGTCCACTTCTTTTTTCTACTACTAATGCCAATGCTAGAGGCATAGATAAATAAGAAGCATGGAGACTGAGATGGGCCTCACCTGTCTGGAAGCCTTTTAAGACGCACTTTTCTGGAAGCCTTTTAAAATGCACTTGTCCTACCTGAGATTCTCCATTCTGCTTGGTGAGGCACCCTGATGAGGCATTTCACATGTGATCACAGGAGATGTCACCAGGATTATTCTGAGTTTTAATTTAGTCGGTTGTAAATGGGGTCATGATAATTCATCATCTTATGTGGTTGTTAGCATAGTTAAAGGATAAAATGAAACAAAGTTCTTTGTGTGTAAATATTAGCTATTGTTATTATTACCCCCATTGTTAGCATAAATCAAGAGAGTGTCTGTTCTCCACCTTTCCCTTCTTTAATGGAGACACTGGTCACTAGATTTAGGACTTACCCCAAAATGATTTTGTCCTGAAATCCTTACCTTAATTATACCTAAAAAGTTCATTTTTCCAAATCACCTTCACAGGTTTTCTCAGGCTTAAGAGAGTGACATATCTTTCAGTGGGGAAGGGGCACAATTCAACCCACTATGGGGAGTTAGAAGTTAAGCATGTAAATGGACATACATTATTATGTAATGCCAAGTAGTGATAAATGCTCTAAAGTAAAAATAAAGCCATATAAGGGGATAAGGGTGAGTGGAGGATGCTCTTTGGAGACAGCAGTCAGTAAAGGCCTCCTGAAGAGGTGACATCTGAGCTAAGATGTGACTGAGAGAGTGAGACATGCAATATGGGGGACATGTGTTAGAGGCAGAAGGAGCAGCAAATGCAGAGAGCTGAGCCAGGAAAGTCAAGAAAAATCAGAGTGGCTGGTGGCACAGCAAGTGAGCAGGCCAGCAGCAGGGAAAGAGAGCAGGGGGCTGTGCTTGTCACAAGAGGATTTTGCATTTTATTCTAGGTTTGATGGGGAGCCAAGACTGGGCTAAGAACAGCAGAGTCATATTCAATTTCTAAGGCAGACATTCTATTTTAAACCAAACTCCAGACGTGGAGCTAAAGATTTAAGTGGTATTATAATATCCTCGAATAATTGCTCTGATAATGAGAAAACACCAAGAGCAATTCTTTGCCAATATTAGAACTAAATTCAGTTTGTCCTACCATGTCTTTTCATTATCTTGTGCTTCACTGAACATGTCACGAGTTTGCAGAAACAATTCCTTCTGCCTGCATGCCCTTCCCCAGTGTGCCCCCTCACTCTGCTGTGGCTTGTCCCTGGTTTGTGTCACGTCCCCCAGATAAGGTCACTCACACTTCCTCCATGCTCCAAGGCGCTTATTGCCCTGGGTGCCTACTTTCTCCTATCATTACCATCTGTTTACAAGCCTTCCTCCTTTTCTGACTGTACAGTTCTTTATGGTCACATGTAAATCTTATTAATCTTCATATTACCAGAAACTAGCACACTGCACACTAGGTACTGAATAAATGTTAAATGAATGAGTGAATCTTGGTCCTATTCAATTTTATTTTGCCTGGGTTTATATATTCTCCATCCCACTATTTAAATAAACATAGACTTTTTTCTTCTGTTATTTAATGAATAGCCTATAGAAAGGCATTACATTAGCATCAGGACACAATGACCATCTAAACATTTTTTAACAGTTCACTAGAACTGTACACAGTTATTAGCCTGTTCTTTGCTTGCAAATGCCTCAAGAAGCGAAATAGTGGTACGTCCTTTCCCCTGTGTTAAATTTGAGATCACAGAGGCAGGGCAAGCTGCATTAACCTGTCTGAGGTCACCCTCCAAGTCACTGCAATGGAGAAGCCAAATCATCAATGCAGAGAGCTGCTTTCTTCCGTAACTGTGATGTACTGAGTTCACTGAGCCATGCTGTATTTGTCATGCACATGAGTTCTGAAAATCAATAAAATCTGTGAACCATCCCACAAAAATAAAATGCAGTGAAAAGAGTCTGCTTTGCTCCCTTCAATTACTCCAGCATGAATGGACCCAACAGCTGTGGTCTTCAGTGGGACTTCCAGGGCAATAAAGTTTTTAGAAATATTGATTTTCTTGATTTATCAAATTTTCTTGTTTGAGCTTTGCCTAATAAAACATCAAAGTTGAGCATGTGAAGCTGCATTAAAGCATGATCTTCCTGGCAAGAAGAATATGGAATAAAATTGGTTGCATCTTTGGATATGAAATAGAAAAAAAATACCTGAATCATTTTCAACAAAACATATGCTCAAATACTGGTGGAGATAAAAACCAGTTCAGGTAGATTTCTTTGTCATGCTTGAAAAATACTTTTCTTCAAATACATATTAAATATATTACTATCTAGAGCATCTAAAGTGAGAGTCTCTTGTCACACATCTAGACAAAATTAGGATTCCTGTGACTCATGTCCCCAGTCATTCTACATTGGTTGTCAGAGTTCATATCTCAACTCCAGATTCAGGTCCAGTTTGCTGGTCCATCAGAGGCTGGAAGCATGCTGTGCCAGCTGTGTCTGTAGACACAGCTGTGCGCTGTGAAAAATGCACACTCGGTTAACCCTGGAATGATTTTAGATCCTAAATATTGCAAAGGAAAGAGTATCTTTTGGTTTTTTGTGCCTCAATATCCTATTGACATGAATGAATTTTGCTTGATAAATTTGTAAAGCCAACAGCCTTTCGACAAAAGGGGTGAGAAACATATGTGTGTTTTGTAATTGAGTAAAAATGGATTTTGAGAATACTATGGAATATTCATAGATTATTGGCTTTCGAGTTGGAAGAGCAATTTAGGGATAATTATAACAATCATGATAATTGGTGACCATTTTTAAATATGGTTCTGCCATTGTATGATGTGTTTTATCAACAAATATATTAGGTACATGATTCAGTTAACACTACATCCAATTTAAAGAAGAGGACAATCCATTCTAGAGGAGTTAAATGACTTGCCCCATTCCCACAGTTGATTACTTTTCAGAGATGAACAACAAAGTCAATGCTTCTATCTTCTTGGTTTACAAAGGAATTGCAAACCAAATTTATGAGAGTGATTAGCCTTCTCAAGGATGACATGGGACTTTGTCTTTTAACCAGATGATTGCAGAAGTGATTGGCCATTATTGCTTCCTCAAACTTCTAGTTACCTTGAAATAACTCTATAGGACAATTTATTGCTAAGAATCTTCTATGGAATACTACTTCAAAAATACATCAGAGGCCAGGCATTGTGGCTCATGCCTGAAATCCCAGCACTTTGGGAAGCTGAGGCAGGCAGATCACCTGAGGTCAGGAGTTCCAGACCTGCCTGGCCAACATGGTGAAACCCCATCTTTACTAAAAATTCTAAAATTAGCCAAGCATAGTGGCAGGTGCCTGTAATCCCAGCTACTCAGGAGGCTGAGGCAGGAAAATCACTTGAACCCGGGAGATAGAGGCTGTAGTGAGCTGAGATTACGCCACTGCACTCCAGCCTGATCAACAAAGCAAGACTCCATCTCAGAAAAAAAAAAAAAAAAAAAAACCAGAAAACAAAAATGCATCAGTAGACGTTACTTAAAGCTATATAAAAATGTTGTTAAAGAAAATGCTGAGTTAAACTAAACATATTACTTTACTGTAGGACTTATCACTACCATGTTTAATATAAATATATGCATTGCATATCTTCCAGTAGTGGGTACCATGTGGAGCACTTACTAAATGTGTTTCGTCATGTGACTGTTTTATCTGTTTTCTCTTAAATAAATATTGAGTGCTTTGCAACACAAAGTTTAGTGCTCTACGGAGATGAACTTTCCTAGAGTTAATATTCATCGCTAGTAGACTATACTGTGACAAAAATAATGTAATTACTTTGACTATTTTCCACCGTGGATATTACCGGAATCACATTATTTCACAGTCATTATTAAAATGGCCAGAAAGATTAGAAAAGTAAAATACAATATTGGAAAAAAATAGAAAACTGAAAATTGCCACCATATCTACTTAGTCTTTGACATGGCTATGTAAAAAACATTGGTCCTGTATATGGATGAACCTCATGACTTCTGTAATATTTTAGTGGTGATTTTATGAAAACATTGTCCTTTTCTAAAGTCCCTGAAAATCAGTTTTGTATCTTCAAATTAGAAAGCTGGAGAGAGCAATGCGTCATGGGGTTATGGAAGAGAGAGTAGGAATCTGGTCCCAAGTGAATTCAAATACACCACTTGGGTCCCATTCATCTACTCTCTGGCCCATGGTACCAACCTGGTCCTTCCATGAAGGTGCCTTTTGGAGACAGCAGAATATCCTAGGCATTTGCTTCAATTTTCCAATTTTAGACCCAAAGTCAAATGTTTCCCAAATGATTTAAATTGATACACATAGGCCACTGGCACTGGGATTTCCATTTCCTTCCTGGGCTTTGTAACTATAGAAAAACAACTTACGAAGGAAGATGTGGGGATTCTTCTACCACAGGTAGTCAGGTAGACCTGTCCCCAGAGATGAAGAAATGTACATGGGATATACGAATGAAGGGTGATGGGAAGGGAAATTGAGGTTAATGCTGAGGTTTCTGGCTGAGAGTCTGAATACAGTCTACTGTGAGCAAAAGTGGTTATGGTGCTTTTTGATTTTTAAAAGTTAGCTGAGAGGTGTGCCGTGGCCAGCAGTGTTGGTAGCCAGAAACTTCCCGTAAACCAGAGAGCACACTGCATCCAAGGGCTGTGCTACAAATCAGCTTTGGTATGAATTTAGGACATTTGCAAGTATTATGCCTGTTACCTTAAATGGGATTTAGGACCTGGTGCAGTGGCTCACGCCTGTAATCCCAGCACTTTGGGAGGCCAAGGTAGGTGGATCACTTGAGGCCAGGAGTTCGAGACCAGCCTGGCCAACATGGTGAAACCCTGTCTCTACTAAAAATACAAAAATCAGCCAGGTGTGGTGGCGTATGCCTATAATCCCAGCTACTCAGGAGGCTTAGGCAGGATAATTGCTTGAACCTGGGAGGCAGAGGTTACAGTGAGCTGAGCTCACGCCACTACACTTCAGCCTGGGCGGCAGAGTGAGATTCTGTCTCAAAAATAAATAAATAAATAAATATATAAATAAAACAAAATAAATGAGATTCAGTCTGTGCTTTTTCAGGATTTAAATTTGCCAAAAGAAATTGAAATTATACATTGCTAGTCTCATTAGAGAGTTCTGTCATATTAGGTGACACTAACAAGAAAAAAAATCCATGTCCAAAGGCTAAGGCTATCAGGAGCATCTAGTTACAATGATCAAAGTGATGATTAAAGAAAAATAACTATTTCTTGCCTGTTTAAAGCCATGCCATTACAACAGACTAATTGAAATGTGAAGCAAAGATTATGTAGATTTTGCTTGCTGGATGTTGTAATGTTAAGACTTTATTGATCAAAAAGAGGCAAGTAGCTTTTGAACTGTATTAGCAGTTCTTCTACTGGTTGGAAATTTATTTTCTGATAGTGTAAGTTACCAGAGCTTCATCATGCTGTGAAGTGTATTTCAAGTCAAAAAAATTAAATTGAACCCATAATGCATAAGGGTCTTTGTGCCTTGTAACCTAGTGAATAAGAACATAGGCTTTGGAATCAGAACCACCTTAATTTACATATAAACTTAGCCATTGTTTTGAAAAAGACAATCAAGTTTTCTAAGCCTCAGTTTTTTCAACTGTAAAAGTGGGATATTAACAGCCACCTGAATAAGTCTATTTATGACCAAATGGAATGAATACCAGGCCCTAGACCAGTAAGTACCACATAATCATCAGCAAATAAATTGGGGAAATAATTATAATAATAATTATCACCTCTCTGTCGGGCTAGAGTGGAACTTGAGGTTCATTTAATCCAAGTCTTACAATTTGAATGAGGACACTGAGTCACAAAGTGGAAACAGTTTCAAAGTGCTTTTATTCATTCGATGATATATTGTAGACCCCCCATTTGTCAAGCTCTGTGGTAGGTACTGGCAAATGAAAGTATAAGCATTCACCATATATGCATTCACCATGTATGTATTCATACCCAGACCCATTCAAGGACTAATTGATGGCATCTGTCCCTTAAGGAGTTCGGAGTATACAGAAGGACACACATGGTGAATTTTGTGCTATAACAGAGGGCTCAACAGGTTGCTGATGGAAGAACAGAAGACACCATGACTCTGCCAGGAAAGCCACTTCAGAGAAAAGGTGGTAACTTATGGGGTCTTGAAGGAAGAAAATGATTAATGTCAACCATACAGACCTTCTAGACTATGCAGAGAAAGTATCAACCATATTTTACTAATGAGAAAACCAAGAATTTGAAAAAATGTATTATTAGTCGATGGTTCCATGATATTTTAGGGGCAGAAATGGAACTAAAACTCAGGGCTTATCATCTGTATCTCTTACTACTTCTATTCTTTCTCCCATTCTCTCACATGAATAATATCTAAGTTTGCAGAAAGAAATTAGTTCAGCAGTTTAATTACACTGTGGATAACTTTTAATTTATTCATTTCTCATGGAATTATTTCCTCTTGCTTGATTTATGCCCTTACTTGATCTATTTCATTTTACTTTGATTTTCCCCTTTGTAATCAGATGATGCATCTTTGATAATATTTCATTCTCTTTCTGTATATAGCCATTTGTTTTTCTCCCCCTGGAGAACTAATTCATATATATTCTAAAAATAAGCAAATAGTGTAAATGCAAATGGGCTTCAAATGATACTTTACAAGCGCCTAAATTGAACTTTGTTTCACTTGTATCCTGATGCAAAATGTTCCTAACTTTAAGATCATCTCCCATAGGGCCATTCCAATTGTAAAATGAACTCTGCATCTGATTTTCAGATTATTGGATCTACATATTTACCATAACTCTGATTAAAGGCCTTTGAAGCAAATGGACCATAGCTGTTTTTGCAATTGAGCCTTATTAAAATTTAAAGTGTATCCGTAAACATGTAAGTGCCTATTATAGATCAAAGTTCAGAAAATTAAATATTCACAAATACAGCTCATTTTACAAAAACTACAGACTTGAAATTATCTAAGCCAAATAATCTTAGCACTTACCACAAAATAGCCTTAGTTATTTCAGCAGCAAGATTTTATTTATGTTAAGCAACTTTTTGTGACTTGAGCAAAGGTTTTATTTTACCTGGAAAACTCAGCATATATAGCTCTTACTCATGGAACACTGTTGTAATATTAAGATATAAAAATGATAAAGTACCACCTCACATTATATCATTTAATGCATCAGCAATGAAACCATTTGGGGTTTATTTATTTTGCTGATTGACTTGATTCCCTTCCTTTGGAGAGGTTAATAAAGTTGGGCATATTTCATGATTATTCAAATAAGATAGCAAACTTTAATTTCTGTAACCCTCTAGGAGGGTTCAGCCAACAAGTACAATACTGTGTGCTGTTTTAGGATGTTTAGATTGGTGCCTCCACAAATGAAAAATGAGGCCTTGTATTTGTTGATAGCAAGTAGATTGTACTGCAGAATTAAAAGGAAAGAAATCAATGCTGCCAAAATAAAACAATACAATTAGAACCACATTTTGACTTGTCTCAGAAACATTTTTTGGTATTAAAGTTATTGGGCTATTAAATTGCGTGGGGAAAAATAATAGAGCTCATTACATGGAGTGTTCTGCTTTGCCACAGCTGGAGTCTGGATTGCACACTTTAATATTACTTACATGTACTGGAGCAAGCTGAAGAAATACAGATTATTAAGAAATAACCTTTTCCATTAGGGGAGCTTCAAAGTCCTCAGGACCTTTTGGGGGTATTAGTGGGAATATAAAGAAGAATGAAGTATCTTTTTGCCACGCATTTTCCAATGTGAACAATAAAATCTATTAAAAAGTTTGTTTCTGTTTCAATATATTTCCCTGATAGAAAGAAAAGAAAGAGGGAGTTTAAGGGAGAACCGATTAAAGACTAAAAATAGAAGGGATGGAACTACAATTTCCTTAGATAGCATTGAGACAGACAACTCTGTTTGATCATTTAAGGCCAAAGATTAAATGGTAACTCAGAAATTTTTAATTATTTCCCTCAACAATAATTTCAGAAACAACTCATAGGACTTGTCTTTTTACTTGTGGCCATTTAAATGATGGTGGGCAGCAGCAGTTCTATTGTTTTTCCTTATTTTGGGGAGTGGACCGGTTTTATGCATACTGTCTTCCACTAAAAAAATCAGACAAAAAAGTTAAAAAAAGCTGTTAAGGCAATTAAATTACTTACCATCTTTACTAAGGAAAGAATGATAGATGCATGGTAATTGAGGATTTACCTAGTTGCTAGGGATGGCAGTAAGAGTTTCACATACATTACATCCTTTAATCGTTCATAAATCACTTATTTTTTGGATAACAGAACCTATCCTTGCTTTTTGGAAAATCACATTGCCTTCCACATTGTTCATTTATGAGAAGGACCCTGTGCCCTGGCTCAAAAGGTAAACGTATGACCCAGATCTGGTTAATGAAAACACTGTGGCAATAAGGACAGACAATTAGGATGTGATTATAGCTTGGTCAGGGTATAGAATTCTGGGACTTTTCCTGAAACTATCCAATTTTGAGAAAAATCCTCTGGTCATCTACTGTGGATCTACAAGTAGCAAAATCTTTCTCTTCCTTTCTGTCTCTCCATTTGCCTTCTTCTGCCCTTTTTAGACATTCTAGTAACTAGCTCACTCACCATGAAAACAACTATGAAAGAGTCATTTTTGAATACAAAACAAATAAACCAAAGGTTTAATTTAAAAAAAAAATTGCTGAACCCTGGGATACATAAGACTGCCAAAATACTTATTAAAACATATAAGCAATTCTAAAGGAGTCAGAATGAATGCTTAGAGTTTAAGTGACTATCATCAACATTTAATTTACCGAGGTGGATGTGCCATTGACCACTGATATTAAAGAGCCATTACCAAGAATGCACATATGAGCACATTACATCTAAATGGTCCCTTCACCTCTTTCTGGATAGCTTGTGGGAATCACTTTTAACTATGCTAATTGTTTATGCCGAGTAAACATTCATGCTTAAATGCCTCCAACAAAATAACATGTAACATTTGGGAATTTCGTGGTAACTTGATGACTTTTATTATCAGAACCAAATAAAGAACACATGTTTATTGCATATTAAATAGAAATGAGGAAAATTTCTTAACCAAAACAAAAACTTTTTTTAAAAACTGTAGTAAACTGCATATTTTCTAGAAGGCCAACAACAAAAGCAAACCTCTCTTTAATAAGTATTTTATGTTATAAAATTGGAAAATTTGTCCACACGCAGGGATTTAAAATTGAGTTATCAAATTCCAGATTTTAAACTAAATATGAAAAAGTGTTGTGACCTAAAAATTATTTCAAGCTTAAGATACCAAAGTGAACAAAAATACTTTCACATTTATATTCCACCTCTCAACACTCGCGTAAATACACAGAACCCAAAATATCTTTTGCAATTATCTTAATTACTGTTACCTTTGATTTATCTTACAAGGGTAATGCATTTAAAATTGTAATTTCTCATTAATGTCAGTTAGGTTTTAAAGGATTTTAAAAACATTACTTCTCTGTTGGTTGGTCTGATGTTTTAAATATGTTTGATTCAAATAATACAGATGTTATAACTAAAGGATCAGTTTCCATAGGGCCATAATTTTGCAATGCTAATAACTACTAGATTTTTTTTAAAGATAGGTATTTCCCACAAGCACATTTGTATATATTGGCAGAAGGAATGGATATGTTAAAAAATGATTCAAACACAAATGGTTTCCTTCAACTTAATGTTTTAAACTTTCTGTGTGTTTGAAGCATTTCTCCAAAAACATGATGATGGAACATGCATTGGAAGAAGAATCAGAAAAGTCAAATTTTTACATAAAGTCTGTTAACTCCTTTGCTGTGTGAATATTGACACATTGCTTAACATTGCTTAATCTTTCTGTGTGTTACTATATTCAAATTGGGAATTGCATTACTTGCATTACATATCTTTCCACAATTTATATGAAAATCAAATGGGATAACAGATATGATAGGCAACGAAAATTCCAAAATGCTAAATTAATGAATGGGTGCTCTGTTCATCACTTACCAATCTAATATTTAATGAGCTACTACTCAATATATAGATAATTTAGAAAAAGTACTCAAATATGACAGTAGGAGAGACACATAAAATATGTTAAGTCCTATAAGAAAGGTTTAGTTCAAATGCTAAGAGAATTCAGAGACAGGGAAAGATAATTTTGACTGAGAGAGAGGACTAGGAGGGAAAGTAGAAGTGACGCTATTTGAACTGGGTCTTGGGAAACACTAGGACCTGGATCTCAGATGAGAAAACATGTTTTAAGTAGGGGAGGAGATAATGGATTTGAAGGTTTAGGGTTATCTATTGCCTGTTTTGAGTGCATGATATAATGCATTTCACTTCTTCAGTTAACTAAAAGAATCACGTAAATTGTTTAAAAGGAGTAGAAGATCTTGAATAATCATATACCTTTTTACTAAGCAATTAATATATCTAAGACATTGTTTTTATCTACTATCTCAGTGTTGTGATATGAGTATTATTGCTATTATATCCATTGATAGATTAGAAAATTGAAATTACAACAAAAATTACTTGACTCCAAAACCACGGATCTCCCCTACATCCTGCTCTATTATTCTCTTGTAAAATAGATTGTGGTTCTTTTTATTTCTGTAACTTAAAACATTTTTCCATTGATGTCATTCTTTCAACTACACGTTGAGTGCAAAGATGAGGTGCTTGCTCTCAAATGGGAAGTAGGAAGTTGAACAGAGTTGTCCTTCTTCCATGGATTTAATGAGGAATTAAGATTCAGAAATGAGCTCTCATGTGCACCTATCCAGCCCTCCAACACCCACTCCTCAATGGACTAAATATTTAACCTAGGTGGAAAAGAACTCACACATTGGAGGAGGACTAACATGTGACTTCCTTTGCACATGACCCAGGATCATAAGTGGGGGACCTTCTATTTGCTCTTTACATTCAGTCTTCTGCTCATTGTCACATATGCCCATGATCTTAAAAGCAAGCCACTAGAGTGTGTTTCTAAGAGCATAGCTATAATTCAGATAAATGTGGAGAAAATTTGTAATTCCGTGTCTTAGTCTGTTTAGTGTTACTATGAAGAGATACCTGAGGCTGGGTAATGTATAAAGAAAAGTTAATTTGGCTCACCCTCCCACAGGCTGTAAAAGAAGCACAGCACCAGCATCTGCTTATGGTGAGGGCTTCAGGATGCTTCCACTCATGGTGGAAGGGAAAAAGGAGCTAGTGTGTGCAGAGGTGACGCAGTGAGAGAGGAAGCAAGAGAGAGAGTGGAGATGCCAGGTTCTGTTTTAACAAATAGCTCTTAAGGGAACTAGCAGAGGGAGAACTCCCTCATTGCCACAAGGACAACACCAAGCTTTTCAGGAGGGATCTAACCCCCTTGAGTCAAACATCTCCCCCAATTAGGCCACACTTCTAACAGTGAGGATCAAATTTCAACA
This sequence comes from Homo sapiens, assembly GCF_000001405.40. Classification (NCBI taxonomy): domain Eukaryota; kingdom Metazoa; phylum Chordata; class Mammalia; order Primates; family Hominidae; genus Homo; species Homo sapiens. Next base: position 43,640 of record NT_187540.1, read on the forward strand.
TGAGGTTTGGGTTGGGGGTTAATATGCAAACCATAGCTTTCCCTTACTAGCAGAGTGACCCAAGGCAAGTTGCATACAATGGAGATAAAAATCCTGTGTTAATCAGCTTGGGCTACCATAACAAAATACCATAGACCTGTTGGATCAAACAGCAGACATTGGTTTCTCACAGTTTCAGAGGCTGAGTAGTCTAAGACCAAGGGGCTGGCTAATGCCATTCTGCGTCAGGGCCCTCTTCCTGGCTTGCAGATGGCCGCTTTCTTATTATATCTTCACATGGTAGAGAAAAAGTGATCTCTGGTCTCCCTTCTTTTACTTTCGAAAGTGCTAATCTCATCATGGGAGCCCTACCTTCATGATTTCACCCAAATCTAATTACCTCCAAGGAGCCCCACCTGTAAAAATGATCACATTGGGTGTTAAGGCTTCAACATACAAATTTTGAGACACAATTCAGTCCATGGCAAATACCGTAGGGTAGTTTCAAACTTTCATAAACATAAATATGTGAACTATTTAGCCTCAAACCTGGCATATAGGTACATTGAAATGGCAACTATTTGTGTCATACGGCTATTCATGTTTTACATCCACATAGTACCATCTCCTACAACATTCACCTAAAGCAACTGATTGGCAATGACATTCATTACAGATTTATAGCTATTCAATAATCATTTACAGAATACTCTGTGTCTGGCACTGTGTTGGGTGAGGAGAGGAGAAAGTATATAAAAAGTTGAGTAATTTAAAGCTCTTATTTTTGAAAAACTCATAGAAAAATGAGGAGTGCAGAGAGCTCTAAAGAGATTGCTGAAATATAAAATGGGATTAGACCATGGGGAAAACTGGTGACTGATTCTGCCAGACCAAATCAAAGAAAGCTTTAAAGAGAAGTGATGTTTCAAGCAGCTCTGGATATCCAAGTAGAATTTATCTGCCAGATAGCACAAAAAAAGAAGGATGCTCTAAGTAGAAACAATAGTATCTGATAAGCAGGGAAGCATGAGCAAGCAAAGAACTGTAGGGAAACTAATGGGAGACAGGAATTGTTGGAGCAACAGTCACATACAGGAACAGGTAAAGAAACACAGTCAATGTCACTGAGAACTGGATTGTGAGATCCCTCTGATTCCACAATCAAGAGACAGGGCGGAGCCGAAAGTATTTTTAATTTAATGTTGGCAATAGTGTGAAGAATGAGTTGGTCTGGGATGAGACAGGTGGCAAGAGGCCAGTCAGGACACCAGTGTCACAGTCTCTAGACAACAGGTGAATAGACCTATTGATATGGTTTGGATTTGTATCCCTACCCAAATCTCATGTCAAATTGTAATTCCCAGTGTTGGAAGAGGGGCCTATTGGGAAGTGATTAGATCATGGGAGTGGGCTTCCCCCTTGCTATTCTTGTGCGGTGAGTGAGTTCTCAGGAGATCTGGTTGTTTAAAAGTTTATAGCACCTCCCCCTTCGCTCTCTTCCTCCTGCTCCACCCATGTAAGACATGTCTGCTTCCCCATTCGCCATCCACCATGATTGTAAGTTTCCTGAGTCCTCCCCAGCCAAGCTTCCTGTACAGTTTATGGAACTGTCAGCCAATTAAACCTTCTTTCTTTATAAATTACCCAGTATCAGATAGTTCTTCATATCAATGTGAGAACAGACTAATACACTTATACAAGGCAGTAGAGGTAGAAAGGAAGAGACAATACTTAGAGACATTTGGGAGTAAGAAGACTTAGAGCTTCCATTTCAGGTGGATTGAGAGATTTACTCCTGATGAGAGGTCAAAGGATTCCTATTGAACCAGACATCAGTTGCTGGGGAACAGTCATATGTGACTGCAACATCAAGGAACCCACAAATGCAGCCTCGCACACATACAGGACATAAAGCCAAACTGCAAAAGGTAACACATCAAAATACCTCTATATTGTGTAATGCCAGATTTGTGTAAATCAGAAAAGAACTGCCAGGCTCACCAACAACCTCATTTATATTACGGTAACTATCAATACCGAAAACTGTTATTTCCTATTATATTTTTAAAAAGTCAAATTAATAAACTTCAATTATGAACAACCAGCATTTATTAATTATCTCCTATAATCACTATGACAAAGATAGTTAATTCCCTGCCCGGTATATATGCTTGCTTCTACTTTAAGAACAAATCCACAATTTTATTAAGATTAGCAAGTACCCAATTTAATAAATATATATGTGTAGATCTATATATTATATAGATATGTGTACATTTGTGTATATATACACATACCTATATTTTTTCCTTCTCTCATGAAGCTAGGGGTGGCCAATGAGATATGAATGGAAGCCACTGGCTGATGTATCTGAGGACCTCTTTATAGGGGTCTAGACTTATATGGAAGGGGGCCCATTGTCCTCCCTGCCACCCCCTCTTTCTTGCTTCTTGGATGAATTTGTAAAGGCCAGAACTCATGAATAGACACAAGCACCAATCTTAGTAGAATAAAACAAAACAAAACAAAAAACCTTAGTATACATAATAAAAATTTAACACTAAGTTGTATCAGCTAACACTATTTGGATTTTCTGATGTGTACAATGCAACCTAATTAACATGTCATATAGCCAGCATCATGCTTAGAGCCAGGGAAAGCAAAGATAACTAAAATACATAAACCATCTGAAATACCACAGGATAGGGAATATAACTTTAAAAACAATACCTTTCCATTCCCCACCCAAATAGTCTAATATAAACTGAAAACTGGATGAGGATGGAAGTTACTTTGTAGTCACGACAATATTGAGTATCCTGAGGAATCAGTTCTCTATCAAGTAGCGTGAGTGATAACTCATACCTCATCTCAAAGCTTAACATTTTTCTAGGTACCAGTGGGGCAGAAACACATGATTCCTAGTCCCAAACAGTTCACAACGCAGAAGGGGAGCCAGAACAGTACTTGATAATAAGTAGCATATATTTATGGCCATAGTCAGCGCTGCTATGTAGTTTTTAATTCAACAAATATTCCCCATGATAACTTGCCCTGAGGGAGAGAGTCATGAGTGTGCAACAATATTGCCCTGTTTTCAAAACTAGGTTTTGAGGGGGAGGATAAATAGAATTCAAATCGTATTATAATATGGTAGACTTGTGTGAACTTAATAAGTGACAATCCTGGTGGACCCCAAATTCATGTGTTGAGTTTCTAATCCCTACCACCTCAGAATGTCACCTTATTTGAAAATAAGATCATTGCAAAAGCAATTTCTAGTTATGATGAGGTCATAGTGGAGTAAAGTGGGCCCCTAAACCAATATGACTGATGTCCTTATGAAAAGGAGATATTTGGACATAGACATATACACAGGGACAAGGCTGTGTGAACCTGATGGTTGATATTGAGTGTCAACTTGATTGAATTGAAGGATGCACAGTATTGTTCCTGTGTGTATCTGTAAGGGTGTTGCCAGAGGAGATTCACATTTGAGTCAGTGGGCTGGGAGATGCAGACCCACCCTCAATCTGGGTGGGCACCATCTAATCAGCTGCCAGCATAAAAGCAGGCATGGAAAGAGCAGACTTGCTGAGTCTTCCAGCCACCATCTTTCTCCTGTGCTGGATGCTTCCTAAGTTCAAACATCAGACTCTAAGTTCTTCAGCTGTTGGACTCTTGGACTTACCCCAGTGCTTTGCCAGGGGCTCTCTGTGGCCTTTGGCCACAGACTGAAGACTGCACTATGGGCTTCCCAACTTTTGAGTTGTTGGGATTCGGACTGGCTTCCTGGCTCCTCAGCTTGCAGACAGCCTTTTGTGGCACTTCACCTTGTGACTGTGTGAGTCAATTCTAATAAAATCCTCTTCATATATTCATCTATCCTGTTAGTTGTGTCCCTTTAGAGAACACTGACTAATACAGTGAAGATGAAGGAAAAACTCTGGGTAATGCTTCTTCTTCATGGCAAGGAATGTCAAAAATGGTCAATAAACCACCAGATACTAGGGAAGAGGCATGGGTAAGATCACTCTCACCGCATTCAGAGCGAATCAACCCTGCTGATGCCTTGATCTCAGATTTTGAGCCTCCAAACCTGTGAGACAATATATTCCTATTGTTTAAGCCACCCACTCAATTAGCAATACTTTGTTCAGGCTGCTCTAACAAACTAAGACAAGCTTTAATGGAGTCTACAAGTTTGTTGAGACATGTTTAAGTCCCATGCACTAGGACACTGATATTCTAAAAAAAAAAAAAAAAAAAAAAAAAAGCTTGATTGACAAGTAAACCCAGATTTTGTTGAATATTTCAACATAATAACACTTGAAAGAAAATAATAGAAAAACTTTGCTTCTTGAGGAGGAAACAGCCCTGTTCTAAAACTGCTTACCATGAGTGCTAGTGAAAGAATTATAAAGAAAGTACAGAACTTTAGTAATTTGATAGTAGAATATTATGAATTTGAGGATTCATGACATTCTTGGGATACATTTTAGAAAAACTGAGAAAGGGCTTCCTCACATAGCAAAGGAGGTAAAATTCAAAAATGATATAAAAATAAGCACTATGAGAGGATAAAAGAGAAAAAGAATACATTGTGGGATCAGAAAAGGAGGTGGCATTTGAGAAGAAACTTGAAGGATGTTCTATTAATCAGAGTCTGGTGTTTTAGACAAAGTCTATTTAATACTGACCATTGGTTACTCGGGTGATTAAAGACTGAAGCTTCTGGGGATGTTGATGTAACCCAGAGCTCAACAGCTTTAGGAAGTTGCTACCATTCTTCAGGCCAGCAGGGGAGAAAAAAAGAAAGAATGAACGAATCTGAAAGGAGAAGCTCCCTGCAGTTGGTAGTTGGACCTCTTAGGGAAAAAAAGCCATTGTTTCACACATACTAGACCACTGAGGGGGCCTGGCTGTTTTTTTACACATCTCAGAGGGGCTCTGCTGTGTGTTGGGAGAATGGGGGTGGGCTATGTGGTACTCCCCCCACTCAGGTAAAGTGACATCAGGGCTAGAAGTGTCAAGGAAGTTGGAGGCTGAAGCCATCGTTGTCTGCCTCAAATGGAGAGGGAGACCCAACCTGGAAGTCAGAAAAGAATCCTTCTTCCAACTTCCACCTCCTGTCCACATTTCCTACTGGCAAAATCTACCCAGAGATGGCTGAAAATGGGAGTCTGGAAAATGTAATTTTTGGAACCTTAATCCTAACTTCTCAGAAAAGAGTAGGTGGTGGATAGCGGTAGGACTTGGAACTAATAGCCAACAGGTAAAAGAGGCAGAGATGTAGAGGTTTTAATGTAAAGAAACAGGGTGAAAAGGAGGTATTTCCCGTTTCCTGAAGGCCCTGAGCATTGGTAAAGAGTCTGGAATGGAAAAGGACAGTTTGGTCAATAATGGTGATTCCCTGATGTAGGTCAGAAATGGGTCTAGGTGATAGAAATGTTAACGTGAACAAAATATACAATAGCTGTTTGTAGACTATTTAATTTAACCTTAGCATCAAGCATGTAATATAGGAAGAAGTAGAAAATAAGTCTAAAAAGGGAGGACAGGAGCCTAGAACTGCATTCTGGATAACTTGTGGCATCCATATGGGAGAAGGATATATAACTCAATAAATCATGTTTAATATCAGTGGCTTTTGAAAATGAGTCTGAAGCATGTCAATGGATTAGGAACATTAATTCAGAGGGTTTATAGAATAGATTCACTTTTCCTAATAGTCAAAGTTATTATTTTATCATTTTCATCATTATCATTGTCATCATTATCATAATTACAATGTTTATCCAGTACTCAATATATAGCAGAAATTGAGCACTTTCCTATATCACATCGAACCCTCCAAACAACACTATACAGCAGCTGTTATTTTCCCTATTTTATATGGGAAGTAACTGAAGATCAAATAGAGTACATCTTTTGGTCAAAGTCATATTGGTTCGAAGTGGTTGAACCTGGATTCAAACTCAAGTCTGACCCTAGATTTCTTTCTCTTAAGCATTACATGCTTCTCCGTTTGAGAAAAGGACATCTAGACTCACATCTCCTTTCAAAATATTGTCATCCATGAGGTCACCTCAAGACTCAAGTGCCACCTGGCAGCTTGAGCCATTTCTCTAAGTTCTTCGTTCAGTTCATTTATAATCCCCTCTGAGTGTTACTTCTCCGCCTTCTCACTTCTTTAGGTTTGTCACAGTCCTCTGAGATGACAGGCTGAGCAATGGTGATGAGAATTATGGTAATATAAATTCCATAAACAGAAGAGTCTACCAGGAGTGGACACAAAGAAGTTCACAGAGGGCGCATCTGGGTGAGAACAGCCCCAGCTGTTATAGCATATGTGCAAAATAATGATGTGCCTGCACATCCATGCAGACCTGATCCTAGCTGTTTATAAGAAAGGATAGTTAAATGCAGAAATGCAAATCTGTAGGCTGGAGTTGCTCTGTTTCCTAAGTCTTAAGAGTTTGGCTCCTTATCTTACACACAAAAATGCAATAGACAAAACCTCCACATAAATAAGCAGCAGGTGAACTAGCATTTTCTTGCCAAGGTATTATGCAAGTGTTAACTGAGCTGATCAGCAGAAGCACATATCCATCAGTTTCACTGCAGAAAGCAGGAAGAGGAAGGTGAAGATGAGCAGGCAAGTTAAATGAAAACTCATCTGGCTTGCAGAAGAGACACTTATTGCTCAGAGGAGGAAGGTGCCCAGGGGTCATGAGATGTGACAGTACTAACAGAAAATCCTGAGCTTGCAAACTCTGATAAATGTTTAAGATTTAATGGGGAGTGTCCACACAAATGCAAAATGATTTAGAAAAAGGTAAATGATCATAACAATGTTAATAACATCTATCAAGCACTTTGCTGAGTATTTTGCTTACATTAATACCCCATTATCTAATCAAACTCATAGGATATGTATGGCACACTATTTCATTGAAGAAACAGATTCTTAGAGATGTAAAGTAACTTTCCAAAAGTATAGGTATTTTAGATATATATATTATAGACCTAGCAAATAAGATGCAAAAATAGAATTTAAACTTAGAACTGCCTAACTTAGAAATTACTATAACCAAATGCTCTACTTCACATCCTGATTGCTGGGGATTCCATTTGAAATAGCCAGATCATATATAAGTACATATCTGTACACAGAAGTACATCTATTTCTAAAAGAGACTGCTACTTGTCAAATAGTCAGGCAAGTATGTGTTTTGGCTCTGTGATGTGATAGGACCAGTTTTGAATCTCCTATTTTAACAAAATGTGTTGCTTATTTTTGTTATTTTACATCATGGAAACTTAGTTTGTTCAGCCTGAAGAGTTTATGATGGCCTCCTGTATTCTTCCTGTAACGTGTTCAAATTCTAGGGTAAAATAAATTTAAAACACAAACCCAGGATGTGTCCTTTTAAGCTCTTATAAAGGATATCATGTAGATAAGCCAATAAAAACCACAAAACTCCCAATTTGGTCAAAAGGGACCTTACTGTATTAATATATGCATCCTAATTCATGCAGTCACTTAATTTCTCATCATCTTCCTTCTAAACACCATTCCATGCACATTTTATATAGCAACATTGCTGAAAAAAATGCATGGATCCACAAAGATCTCTCATCTTTTTTTTTTTTTTTTGAGACTTGCTTTGCCACCCAGGCTGGAGTGCTATGGCATGACCTCAGCTCACTGCAACCTCTGCCTCCTGAGTTCAAGTGATTCTTGTGCCTCAGCTCCCCCAAGTATCTGGGATTACAGGCATGTGCCACCACACCCAGCTAATTTTTGTATTTTTAGTGAAGATGGGGTTTCTCCATGTTGGCCAGACTGCTCTTTAACTCCTGACCTCAGGTGATCCACTGGCCTCTGGCTCCCAAAGTGCTGGGATTATAGGCGTGAGCCATTCCACCTGGTCTCATCCTTCTTTTCTTGCCTTTGTGGATTCTGTTCTCTCATGATCTTTTCCCTATCTCTTAGTTGTACTACAAGATTCAGTTTGGTCTTCATCTTTTCAGCAAACTTTCCTTGACTTAGGTATTAGTGTCCATCTCAGCTATTCAGAATCATCCCAGGCATGTTATTATTATCACCACTGTTTAGTGGTAAACAGTGGGAATGGTCATAGCATTAGCGGTAGTAGCATTAGTAGCAGCAACAATAATGGAAGAGGTAGTGATACTCATACTTGACCTTAGTGAGTATCTCCAATATGTCAGGCACAGTACCAGGAACTTTAAATGTATGAACTCTAATCCACTAAAACTACATGAATCAGCATGAATTTATTATCCCCACTTTATGACTGAGGGAAACTGAGTTTCTCTTTTATCAGTGGCTGTTTCTCCCTAATTTTCTGTTTTCATGCTCCCCATTTTTCTCTCTTAAGCACCTTAGATATTTCTTTATTTATCTTGTATTTGTGTTCTATTGTTTCTCAGATTTCTAAATCATTGATTTCTAGTTTTACCCTTATTAATTCTGTTCTCGTTCCTTGGGATTTATTTTTTTTCTTTTCTAACAGTTTGAACCTAATTGCTTAATTCACTTAAATTTTCCCATTTTATTAATTCATCTATGTAAGGCCAGTAATTTTCCTCTGAGCAATACCTTAGCTGTGTTCTCTAGTACCTAAATTTATATTTTATCTATTCTGAGACACAACTTTTTAAGGTCATTTCAACTTATGACATATTTTAGAATTAAGAGATATCTTCATCTAGGGGTGAATGATATGCATGTTAGTACACTACGCTCCATTTTGATCAATTTCCAATGATTATCAGCCAGGTTACAGTCCTGACATAGCTGATAACTAATGTTGGAAACTGGATAGACTGGGACATTGTTCCTGTTGGCTTATGTGCCTTATTGATGCTGAAAAGCTAAGTTTAGTTACTGTTTCAAATACCTTTATTTTGTTGATCTAAAATATTCTATGAACACTTTCCAAGAAGATCTACCTTTAAAAATTTCAAAATGGGTGTCAACGGCTTGGAAGAGAATTTGGGAGATAATAGTGGAGCACTCTCCCAACTCAGGCTGCAATACTAATGCACTTAGTGTCACAGTAGGAGAAAAATTCTAACGACTGTAACAGAGTTGAGTCATGGTTTATGGGCAGAAATTTTCTTGTTAATGAACACAAGAGAACCATGCATCTTACAAATGGTGGTGTCTTAGATTAATAAAAAAATTAATATTTGTTTTCTGTAAGTTTATCGTGTACCTGAAATTTACAATTTCATTTTCATTTTCATTTTGACCTATGGGCCTTTGAGCAAGTTTTCAAAATCTCCAGGTGAAACTGGCGTTTTTCTTTTCAGTTTGTTTTTAATTTCCAGCTTTCTTGTATAGAGATCAAAGAGAGTGTTCTATATTTATATATTTAAATAATTTATTGAGGTTTTTGTGGCCTTAATATATGGCAGGTTTAATCAATGTTTCCAAGCTATTTGAATAGAAAAAGATTCCCCTCTTTTGAAGAAACGGAGTCCTTATATACTTACAGGAGATGTTCGGCAGCCTTTTATTTAAATGGGGTGATAAATAAAATAAAATTCTAAAATCATTGCAGAAGGTGAAAAATTAAAGAAGGATCCAGATTTGAAGGAGACTATAGTCTTTAGTAGTCAATAGTGAACCCTCAAATTGAGAGTGTAAGGCAGAGTGTACACTTGAAGAGCTGGATAATATGAACCAAGACTAACAGAAGCTAAAACTAGATTTCAGAGTGAAATCAGAAAGAAAGTATCTTGACAACAAAATAATGTCTTATGCCTAGTCTCTCTACTACTCTTGTTCTCAAGTTTGCCTTATTTCAACATTCCCAGTATTTCTGTCTTTAATTTTTACCATTTTTGAGAATCTGAGAACTATCTGTACTATTATTATCCTGACAACTTTCTCCAAATCTATTTTATACCAATTCACTCTCACTTGTTATGTAGCTTTGCATTTAGTAAAAATATCCATGAACTAATGGAATTATGTAATGTGTATGTCATTATATATGACTGTTTTTAAAAGTTTGTCAACATATTTTCTAGAAGAATCTCACTGATCCTTTGTACAATACTGCATAACTTGTAAACACTTATGCTGACTCCAGCCTCTGTGGGAGAGGAGGTGATCTTGCCCTCAAACTGACTTCAGGGAGGTCAGTCACAAAGGTGACAGCTGGGTAGCCATGGAGTTTAAACTAAGAGTCACTTGAAATAAGTAGAAGTAAGTACATCAGAGGCTAGACAGAACACTTGAATCAAGAGTCCAAGATGATTTGGAGGTTTTGAGATAGGAAAGTTTAGGGCACATCACTTTGATTTTGAATTGAGTTCAATAGTTCCTACATTAGGGGTTGGATTTTCAGGAACATAAGAAGGAAAATGTTTCTGCCTATTATTTCTTATACCTAAGGAACAACTGGGCTATTGAATGAGAATAATGTCCAATACCTTACTGCTGATACTTCCTATTTTTCTCCTTCTCCTTATCTTTTCCTTTCCCCTCCCCTTCTTCCTCTTTTCTCTTCCTCCTCTTCCTTTTCTTTCTTTAGCTAACTTCTTAGTAGTTATTTAGATACACGTTTTCTGTTATCTGCATAATTTGTCATCTTCACAAGATTCTACATTCATCTCTGAATTTATTGTACTATACTGAGACTCATTCTCAAATATTTAAATCACATTTTATATTGCAATCTTCGTGTGATAGTTTATAACAAACCAAATTTATTTCAATAGTTAATTATGGAATAGGTAGACAGATGCTGCTTTGATAGTATGAAAAGTATCACAAATTATATTATTTCAAAAGAAAATTATAATTAAATGTCAGCTTCCAACAGTCACATACAAATCTGCATATGATCTGCCAATGCAGACAACCCTTAGAATGGTCTTGAAAATCCCATATTAAAGATGATAGAGTCATCAGATGGAAGGAGCTTGGTCCCCTAAGTCATCACTTGGAAGAGAGCCATTCATTTGCGTATACTTCTTAGGGCTCACAGGTGAGCAAGAAAATAAACTATTTGGTTAAACAACTGAAAATTTTTTTAGTTTGTTGCTCACAGGAGTTGGCCTATTGTGTGAGGCTTAGCAAATATCGGTAGAATGACAGACTGAGTCAATAAGTAAATGCTGCTACTCAACATTTGTTTCTGCCCATAGAAGCCTAAATTTTTTAGTGGTTTGTTTCTTGTCTCCAACTTAAAAACCCTGACATTGGAGATTCTAAGAAATCAACTGATTTAAGACTGCTTCACATAAAGCATCTTTTATGGGGTGAAAACCAAGAAGCATAAAAGCCCACTGCTCTGCTATATGACAGTTCCCGTAGGTATAACATAAACCAAGGTCACGTCGGCACTAAGCCAGAGCACAGTATTTTGCATTTTCTGCTAATGCCGAAAAACACATTTAAATATCCTGTTACTGAAAAAAAATCTAAATTTTCTTTGAAAATTTTGGATACCAAAGTAGAAACATTAGACCTCGCTTGCATACTGACTAAAAATCAATGCCCTAAAATTGCTGAGTGCACTCAGAATTATTTGATATGCTGTCCAAACTTGTTTATGAAAATATATTTTGGATGTGAGGTATAAGTCCCCGATTACTCATTTATCCAAATTGCTAAATGTTTAGAAGACTTCAAAGTAATTTAAATTATTCCTTTTATTGATTTATTACTTTCTTTAATATTCATAATAACTTTTGCTCTTAACCCTGACCTCATAACATTTGAAGTGCTATGATAATAATTATCTTATATTAATATGCTAATTTCTTCAAACAGTACATTCAACTGAAACTTCTTAAGGTTTTAACCACTGTAGACTTAATTAGGTTAATTAAAATACTATTCTATTTTATTTTTACTTTGTGATTGCTCCATTATCATATAATGACACTCATAATAGTAATAGAATTTATTATTTATTGAGCATATCTTTTCTTCCTAAAACATTAGTTTTATGATTAACTTCATAAAAAAATTAAATAGGTGCATACCCTGTGTGGTTTTACCTATTCTTTTTTAGTTTAATAAATACCACCCCATAAATGAATACCAACTTATCTTCCAGTCATATATAGTATTAAACCTACCAAATCTATTTAGCTAAGAGAAATTTACTTGGGCTTGAATATGCTATCCTGGATGCTACACTGTGACTTCAGCCTAAGGAGTTTCCCCTGTCTGAAAAACCCTTGACTCTAACTGGACAGCAATAGTAATCTCTGTGCCAATTTCTAAAGAGGCTGCAGATTGCAAGACACCTCATGATCTGGCCTTGCACAACTCTTCTGCCCTCTATTACTTTTAGAACTGCAATTCCAGCTGCGCACTGTGGCTCACCCCTGTAATCCCAGCACTTTTGGAGGCTGAGGTGGGCAGACCACCTGAGGTCAGGTGTTCGAGACCAGCCTGGCCAATATAGCAAAACTCTCTCTCTACTAAAAGTACAAAAAATTAGGCAGGCATTGTGGCAGGCACCTGTAATCCCAGCTACTTGGGAGGCTGAGGTAGGAGAATCGCTTGAACCCAGGAGGCGGAGGTTACAGTGAGCCGAGATCGCGCCATTGCATTCCAGCCGGAATAACAAGAGCGAAACTCCATCTTAAAAACAAACAAACAAACAAACAAACAAAAAACTGCAATTCCATAAATGCAGTATATTCTTTGGTGCCTCTATGCCGTTGCACACTCTGCTTCCTCTGCTGCAGCTGGCATTCTTTGCCTTGACCACCTAGTTAGCTCCTTCCTCTATTTGGAAATTCTGTCCAGAAGATACCTTTCATTCCTGGTGTCATCATTTGGTATTTTCTCTTTTGCTTGTCTCTGCTTCTGTCATCATGTGCTACATCCTGCTCTCCATCATTTACTAGTATTCATTTTATGCCAGCCACTTTACTATTCTTACATATATTCTGGAGAATTGTTTTAGAAAACTCACAAGTTTAACATTGTTATCCACATTTTAGAAGCAAGAAAAACTAAACTATTTGTTCACTCTGGCTAATGTGTAGATTATTAAGAGTTCAGGCCGGGCGCGGTGGCTCACGCCTGTAATCCCAGCAGTTTGGGAGAACGAGGTGGGTGGATCACGAAGTCAGGCATTCAAGACCAGCCTTGCCAACATGGTGAAACCCTGTCTCTACTAAAGATACAAAAATTAGCCGGGCGTGGTAGCGGGCACCTGTAATCCCAGCTACTTAGGAGGCTGAGGCAGAGAATTGCCTGAACCCGGGAGGCGGACGTTGCAGTGAGCCGAGATTGCGCCACTGCACTCCAACCTGGGTGACAGAGCGAGACTCCGTCTCAAAAAAAAAAAAAAAAAAAAAAAAAAAGAGTTCATGCTAGCTAAATGTGAATTTCTCCTGAATTCTACCTAAGGTCTGTCTGCTTCTAAAGCCCAGTTTTTATATGCTCAGGTAAATATTTGCTTGTTTCCAGACATATGACAAAACATGGGCATTAACAAAGGAGAAAAAGAAAAACGGAGCAGGAGAGAGAAAATAAGAGAGACTAAGTAAGAAATTTTAAATAATTTAAATATGGCATCCACCCTTCTACTCAGTGGATGAATGACCAAGACTGCATTAGAATAAAGCAAATCTGCTCATCCGTGCCATCTCAACCCCTGGGACCTCATAGAATGTGAGTTTCTTCCAGTTCGAGTATAATGCTAGTATTTAATCACATGTGTTTCTTCTACCTCTTGGCAACTGAGGGCAAGCAAATGACTTCGTCTTGTACTCAGTTAAAGAAACAGTGACCTTTTCTGAGCATGAAGGTCATACATCCCACACTGGACTAACTCAGGGGCAGTCCTTCTCTGTGATATTGCACCTTCTTAAAGTACATTTGTCTTGCATACGGATTTTAGAGACCAATTGTTTTGCATGCTGCAGGTGCTTAACAAATATCAGTAGAATGACAGACTCGGTCAATAAATAAACGCTACTACTCAACATTTGTTTCTGCTCATAGAAGCCTAAATTTTTTTCGTGGTTTGTTTCTTGTCTCCAACTTAAAGAAACTGACATTGGAGATTCTAAGAGATCAACTGATTTAAGACTGCTTCATATAAAGTATCTTTTATGCGGTGAAAACCAAGAAGCATAAAAACCCACTGCTCTGCTGTATGACAGTTCCCGTAGGTATAACATAAACCAAGGTCACATCAGCACTAAGCCAGAGCACAGTATTTTGCATTTTCTGATAATGCAGAAAAACACACTTAAAGCCACAGTACTGTTTGAATAGAACACAAGTACAAGATGAGCCTACGAGTTCATCCAAAATAAATAAAACTACTGTGGGGAAAAGTTGATTTATTAAATTTCTTTCATCCCAGAAGAATATATTAAGAATATTATTTATATCCTTTGCATATCTTCCTTCTAATTAGATTCCCTTGTGCCATGTTAAAAATTGATTTAATCTTATTTATTTATATCTTATTTGTAAACTGCTTGCTATGTAATCTATTAATTGCTGTTTCAATTAAATTCTATATATCCATTCATGCATTTGTTTATCCTCCCATGGATTGTTTCTCATCATAACTCTACATTCAGAATTCTGGAGGCATTTACCCACTGGGAGCAACTACCCTCAAACACCTTGCTTTTTATTGCTGAAAACCCTTGTACTCTACTGAGAATAAACTACTGATACTCTCCATGTTCTCAGAGTAAATGGATAATTCAGTACAGTTGAACACAATGTAATTCTAGGTTTTATTCTCCATAAATTGCCTTTTAGCATAGAGATAAAAACGTTATTTAACTAAATGTTTCCCTTTATCCTGACTCATGTAGCAGAACAAGAATATATAACACAGTAAAAATTCCTTTTGAAGAGTAGTTTTTTAGCTGATTTGGATGCTTTCCAATAAACTCAGTTTTTCACAGAACGCTTAGGTAAGTAGGGAGATTCATTGAACATTACAACGAGAATTATCAATGGACCTTAACTACAGCTAAATATATAATTTCCAGTTGTAATATAGGTGTCCAAATATGTGTTGAAATAAAACATATTTACTTGTGTAGTTAAGGGGTAATGTCTATATACCACTGAATTTTACTAGCCATATCTATGAATTTTATCTAGAATACTTAAACAGTATCAGGGTTCTCAGTGTATGCGTTCTCATGTTTGGAAAGAATAAGGAATGAATCTTTACTGAGCCATGACCTTGAGCCAGAGACTCTTTTAGGCCTTATCTATCTCCTTTGATACTAATACTATCACGTTTGAGTATTATTGACCTATGTTCCACATAAAGACACCTCATCTGGGAACATTTAAACACAAGGTTACAATGTTAATAGGTGACAGAAACTACATTTAGCTCTGGATATGTCTTGTTTTAAAACCAGCCTTCTTTGTATACGAAAGTTTTGCTCAAGATATTTAAAAGAAAATTGTATTTTACAAAATGAAGAATCCCTTGATGGGATTGCTTAATATCAGCTAGATAAAATATTTTTAAAAGTATACTACCGAATATTGTTGCATCAAAACTGTATTTGCCCAAGGGTGGCATGGAGAAAACACTCTCCTTTATGTGATTATCCAAAAATTTTCATACAAAGTAAACAAATGTTTAAAATGATCATTCTCAGCATTCTCCCAAATATTTTTACATTTGCCATGCATACCATGCACACATTTAACACACACCATTACATCAAAGATGGTAAATGCCCAATCTTACTTCCCTCTCCTCTAGAAAATCATCTAGGCATTTAGTCAACAAGTACCTTATACAATGTCAAGGGGAGCCATTAAAAACATGGTATACAGAAATTGGATTTCCTTTCCTGAGTATTGCAACGAAGAATGGAAGAGAAAAGCCAGGCTGCTAGCATTTCTCCTTTTGTAAGGATGTGTCAGCCTATTCAGAGAACAAATGACCCAAGTCAATGAGTGTGCTGAGAGCTTATCCAGGAGAGCTGACACTCAACTTAAGCTAAACTTATAAACTGTAGTGCATGTTCAATTTATTTTATCTTCTGCATTTCACTCTGTCACTCCACTTGGTGACATTAAGTATAGCCTTGCAAAGGAAATAGTATCTATTTCTGAAAGGTTTAGGTGAAACATCATTATATTTCCATTTCTGAAAGGTTTAGGTGAAACATCATTATATTTCCAAACAAAATGAAAACAAGCACCTTGGTAGAGGAACGGCATAAAAACAAACAAGCAGGAGGTCTGTTATTTTCAAGGGAATTGACAACTTGAGAAATTCACAGTTCTACATTTAAAATGTCTTTCTTTTTAGGAAAATTCCATGGCCTCTTCTGAAACATCTGGAAAAGACTATAGACATGTTCTTTGGATGCAAGTTATGGATCCATACAAAACGTATTGATCCTTATATAATAAAACCCACAATATTCGGGGGGAGGTAAAGAAGATAGGAAGGTAACGGATGAGAGTTTGGCTACAGTCATGCAAATCTGGGTTTTAATTCTGACTTTGCCAGTCTCAAGTCTCTGTAGAATCGGGAAAAGTATTTTCAAAGCCTCTGCTCCTTCATCTGTAAAATGAAGATAATAAATAGTACCTATTGTATCTGCACAGTTATTAAAGGGCTTAAATCATAGAATATACCCAAAATGAAGTTTTGCATAATGCATTCTCAAAGACATTGTTCAGTACATTTTGACTAGCATTATTATTTATATTATCACAGCTTGGTTCAGTCCCTCATCACTTCTCACTTGAAGAACTGCCTCCTTCAGTCAGTTCATACTAAACATTTGATCAAACTCATGTGATCCTGTCACTGTCTTAATTATTAACCTCTTACAAATACCCCCTATTTATACAGAATGTTTTTCAAACTCCAGGTCATGATCCATTAATGGGTCATGAACCCAATTTAATGATGAGTCGAGACCAAACTTAAAAGAAGAAAGAATAAAATGGCATGACTACATAGGGCATAGAAAGATAGAATAGACTACATAAGGCATAGAAGAATAGAATAGAATAGAATAGAATAGAATAGAATAGAATAGAATGGAATGGAATGGAATGGAATGGAATGGAATGGAATGGAATGGAATGGAATGGAATGGAATGGAATGGAATGGAATGGAATGGGATGGGATATTGTCAGAGAATATGACACATAGCAAAGGTAAAACATATTTTTGAAATCATTTATTACAATTAGTATGTACATGTGTGTGTGCTGGACTGTAATGTAAAATATATGTTCTTACTTACTAGGTAATATTCAAAGTCATCTGACAAGCATTGGGCAGGATGATGTCCAACATTAATGCTCTGCTACTCATCTAGCCACTGACCCTGGTCACTCAATATTCAAGACCTAATGAATGGAAAGTGGAAGATGCATTTTGCCTTCCTTTTGCTTTTGAGATGAGGTAAGTGGTTTAGTATGATGGAAAGTGGAGTACAATAGGACTTTGATTTTATGAGTTGGTAATTTTTTTAACCTAATTTTCTGATTCAATAATAGAAATAAATATACTTTAGACTTTAAATGCTAATAATACCCCATCATTGCCCTTCCTATTCTATCTTCAGAAAAAGTGAATATAATCATTACTGAAAGTATTATGCACAAAAAATAGGATCAGAAATACAAGTTTAAAAATTTCTGTGACCTGAGATTTTTGTGTACATATTAGAATAGTATTTTTCCATTTATTGAGTTAAAATGTTTCTTTATGCAAATACCTTTTCAAACAAAGACATTTCCAACACAAATCCATGAATCCAACTTATAAATAAACTATGAACACTGGACACAATGCATGCAAACAGGACATCTGGAATGAAAATGCACCCTCCTGAGATAACTAGGAAGCCTCCATTTTACATTTAGCTAGTCACTCAAGCATGAAGTAGTCTTTTGGGAAGAATGAGAAGAAAGAGGATCAAATATGTTAAAACTAATGTGTGCACCCATCCTAGATCATAGCATTTTTAGTTTCAAAGATTCTCATTGCCTTTCTCACACTAGCAATGCTCATAAATCGGGCCTTTAACTAAAAATCCACAACTGCCCTAATTCTAAGTGGTAAGAGAGAACTCAAATGCAAAATCAGACTCATGTCCATGCTTATAATGTTTCCATTTCCCCTTTGAAGAAAACCGCCCTCAGTAAAACCAAAAGTGAATTTTAGTGCATATCCATCATCTTAAAAAATGGATTTTACAAATTAAGCATTATGAACAATTTGTAAGTGCATTCTAATACTGTACACAGAGTTGAGAGCCAAGGATTTTAGCATCTGATAAATCTAAAGTTAAATATCTGAGTTCAAGGCCAACTCAACTATTTTCTAGCTTTGTGGATTTGGGAAGTTATTTAGGCTTGCTGTGCTTCAGGATCCTCATGGGCAAAATTAAGATTAAAATATCTACTTTATAAGGTAGAAGTGATACTTAAATAAGGCAATATATATATGAAACAGTTACTCCAGGATCTGACATATAATAAGTGCTCAATAAATGGTAGCTATTAAGGTTGAGAATAGTCATAAAGAAGTCCTAGGAACTAGCTAAATAGTAAAATACCAGGATTATATACTTTGCCTTTCACAAAATAAGTGCTATTAGGGAAAATGTTTTAACATCAGCATTTAAAACTATAATATTTTAATGCAATTCCAATATAAATTTATGTTTAAAGGGTAAATTTTCATGGTTGAAATACCGAACAAAGCCCATTATAAAAATGTTTTATTTCACCCATTTCTTCTGAGTTCCAAGCAGGGAAGATAAAGAAAGAAACCAAATGAGTAGATGATTTTACATGATAAACTCGAGAAAAATCAAGATGGTGCTTCAGTGACACACAGAAGTTTCTTACACATAGTGATAGTCAAAACTAGTTTACTGAATTAGAACATCATGTAAATATTTCATTATAAGATTTTTTGTGTGTGGTAAAATTTCTGTTCTTTTCTTGCATATGTTATTTATGAACATAAAACATGCCTCACTCATCCCCATGAGTCTCCACAATGCCTGGCAGATAGCAGGCACTCAATGAACTTAATTTGAATAATAACATAAGATTTATATTACAAGTAAACAAGGATTTACTGCTCAGCAATCTGCATAGCCCATGGTTAGCTACAACCAAACCTTTGAGGTAGCCTGCCTTTACATGAGCAGTTGGAAAAATCATTACCCTCATTTTAATTTTCCTTCTCCCATTAACGCTTATACTTCAGTGAGAATAAAGTTAAATGAGTGTCTTTTTCTTCCTAGGTTGCTTACATTTTTAAACATAAATCTCAGACCTAAAAGTTTTGTTTCCCTTTTGAAAACAAAATTAATTTAGAAAAATGTAATCAGGTTTTAATTTTTTAATTCATAAAGGGCAACTAATTTCTCAACCTAAATTATAGTACAAATTTACCAAAATTATTTTAGTCATAAAGAATCTGCATACCATAACAGAATCATTCTTCAAAAACTTAAAGCCAAATCTAATACACACACATTAAGATTTTAGGAAACTGACAAGCCAGAATATAATTAAGTGAAAATTTAGAGAGTATAGACAGCAAATTGGCCAAATTAATTTAAAAAAGGAAATTAATTGAGCACCTACAATTATTACTAATCCTCAAAATAACCAATTAGCTGGCATTATTCCCCCTTTAGAGAGAGCAAGGCTCAGACTCAGAGACATGTGGCTCAAGACCATGCAACCAGTGAGGGAAAATTCTAAATTCAATCCTATGTCTGTCAACCTTCAAAGCTTGATTTCTTTCCACTACACTTTAGTGCTGGAATAAAAACTTGGAAGGAACACACTCACACAAAGAAAGATTGATAGTGATGAGAGGGAGAAAAGTGCGAATTTGAAGGAAGATGAAGTAACTTCTTGAAAACGTTTGAGCTTTGTAGAGGAGCAATATACGTAATCCTCTCCAAGCAAGCGTAACCATTTCTTATGAATGGCTGAGTTTTATTTTATTTCATTTTTGTAGGAAAAAAACTGAGGTGGAGAAAGCAAGTGGCCCAAGGCAAAAATAGCAGTTGAACAAAAAGCTTAACATAGTGAATACTTACACTTAGCACAGGATTTGCCAAATATAGTTGTTTCATAAACATTTTTGGAACATATAACAGTAATCATTAATAAGTATAGAATGTTCAGTGACCCCAGTGCTGGGGTAAGCATTTGGCATGTAACTGACTTTTCTCATGACAGTGCTATGAGGTGGGTGTTGTTCTCATCTCCATCCTCTGCATGAGGATACTGACATTCAGAGAGCTTATGCTGCATGCCCACTTCCCAAGTCGGTAGAGACCTGGCCTGGTCCAGGAACTCTGCTTCAGATCCCCAGATCCTACTTACTATGCTTCACTGAATGAATAGAATAATCAGGACATTCTTATCTCAATCCAATTACTTATAAATCAAATTTTTGCTGCAAAGTTTATCATCAAGACTTAAATTACTTTTATAAAATAAAATAAATACTACTTACACAACTGAAATGAAGTGAAAACAAAGGAAAGAAATTGCCATATATTTCACTGTGTCATGAGAATGAGAGTCATTGATCTTGGCAGATCTGAAGCATCCTCTCTGCTCTTTAAATGCCAAACTGATAGATTGTCAGGACAAGTGAAAAATATGCCTGAAAACTCATCAATACCCATATATTATAGGAAGCATTGCCCGCAAAAACAATTATGCTTGAATATGTGATAGAAGTCTTAGTGTATAAAATCCATTATGGCAGAAATTAGAAATGAGAGGAAATTCCAAGAAGCTTAATTTATTGATTATTATTTTCATGAAGTGAGGGTGTTGGAGGGAAAACAAAACCTTGAGATAATGGAACAGAGAAGTATAATTAAGAAATATGTATGATGTTTATCAGTTTTAAAGACTACAATGGATCATGATTATAATTAAGTTGAACAACTACCAAAGAATACTCATTGATAAAATTAATACTTGCCTAAAAAGAGAGTCTCTATCCTTTGGTGAAGAAGAGAAACTGATTTTTATGAACAATAATGATACTGTTTAAGGATAATGCATATGTGTGACACTATACTAAGCACTCACCCACACTGTGTGATTTAATTTTCTCAGCAATTAATTAAGAACCAGCAATGAATTAAGAACTCCATTACATAAATGTTGGGACAAAAAAGGCAAAATAAAAAACTTGACCTATTCTAGTATCATCCTGTAGTTTTCATTTATAGCACATTTCCAATTGTTAATTATACACTTAATTATATATTTATTTAAGTGTGTATTCATTTTTAAATTATATGTTCCATAAGAAGAGGGATCGTAGATTTAATTTATCTCTACATATCCAGAGTCTGGCTCATTGTAGGTGCTCAGAATATATGTGTTGAATAAACTTATGAATAAAAGAGATGATGTCAGAGTTCCAGCATCTAAATGCAAAGACATTCCATACACTTGCCTCCCCCAGTGTCTCCCTTTGGGTGAATGTGGAGGGGATGGGTGTTAGGCGTGTGGGAGCAGCAGTGAGATCCCAGAACAGTTAAGGGGAGATTTTTTTAAAAATCAAAGGAAGGTGTGACAGGAACTGAATTAAAAGATTCCAAAAAGAAAAGCTCCAAGATTTAAGATCTTCCCTTTGATACTAATCAATTTATTGAAGACTCTTGACAAAGAACAAGAGAAAGAGCAAACAAAACTGATAGGATGGAGCCTGATGCATTAGTCACTTGTCAAAATTTGTTGGTAACTGAAGAGAAAGTATGTTTAGCTTCCAAGTCCATTTATAAAAATATGGTTCTCCTGATACTAAAATAACCCCTGGATTCTTCCATAGTAAGGGAAAGGAAAAAATGTAATCATCACTTATGTGTGTGCTATTCTGAACTCAGGCTATT
The DNA here is from genome assembly GCF_000001405.40 of Homo sapiens. Taxonomy (NCBI): domain Eukaryota; kingdom Metazoa; phylum Chordata; class Mammalia; order Primates; family Hominidae; genus Homo; species Homo sapiens. The sequence continues at coordinate 65,541 of NT_187540.1, forward strand.
TTTTAATTGGAATAAGGTATCAAGTCTCAGCCTTATCATTTTAAAGTAGTAGTTCCCACAAGGTATGATTAGGACCATTATTTATAACAAAAAGCAAAAGCTGTAGTCTTATTCTCGCTAGCCAGGAGTGAAATGGTGTTCACTTATCAACAAAACTATCTTTGTTCTCAAGAAGGTTGAAGTTATTACCCACCAAGGACTGCTTTGCATCTACTTTGAGGAATTAAGACATCAACACCAACTAGAGATGGCACACCATTGTTGTTTGTGTATATGCTATGTAGATGGTTAGATTTTACATCAAGCCCTGGATTTATTATCTGAGGGCAGATGTGTTTAAAATCCCGCACTATTGGGTATAAGTAACTTTGTGGATGCCACACAGCCACTCTAGCTATCCATTTTCTCATGTCAGAGACAGAATGATAATTCCTGACCTATCTCCTGAAGCTACTGGAAAAATCACAAATGAGGTAAGGGATATAAAAACACCACATAAACCATAAAGTGCACTTTTCATTTTAACATAACCCATCACTCTTTCTTTACATCACTCCATTTAATTTCTGCATTCAGGTGTCAATTTTCAAAATAGAAAGACAGTCTTATCTTCAGTTGTGTTGGCAGATCCAGCTGAGTAAATGAAGAGTTAGAGCTTGGGAAATGTGCTCTTCCCTGCAAACAACAACAACAACAAAAACCACAACAGTAATAATGGCTAACATGTATTAAGTGCTTATTCTATCCCAGACGATTTTCTAACTCACTGCAGCTGACCTGCAGTAGGACAACTCCATTCTGATATTGGGTCAGGTCATGGGTGAACTAGCATAGGAATGACCAAGAGAACCATTGTGTTTGCCATGTTCATAGTATAAGAAACTGGTTCTTCAGCCTTCACTAGTTGGAGAAAGGGTACAGAAATATTGTCAGAGTGGGAGGAAATCTTAGCAAACAGTTAACACACATCTTGCCCAAAGAGATGCATATGAATACATATAGCCCTGTTAAATGCTTACATAACCAATGTTTATTTGAGCACCTCCATGTATAAAGAACTTAATACTTCATGAATCAGTTGCATTCCATTTTTGTATGTTTAACTAATAAAATGTTCCCTTTCTTTGGTATTGTCTTAAAATCTAGCTTCCTGTTGCTTCCATCTATTGATTTTAGTTATCCCCTTTGAAGTCAAATAGTAAAACTAAAATAATTATTCCATGTGAGAGCCCTTAAATATTTAAAGACATATGTCATATCTTGGCTAAGAGTTATTTCCTCATTAAAACAAAATAACTACCAACATTATTTTTCTTTTAAGATATAAAATAAAATAAATCTATGTAGATAGTGGTCAGATTCTGCCAATGAAATCATAATGATCTACTTTTCATGTATTTAACTTTGAGAAAACCTGGCTATGGGTGCTAGGCAATTACCAAATCAAAGGTTGTTATGGTGAGGAAAGTCTGAATAAATGTTTAAATCCCAATAACTTATCCCTGATCTTCCCTCCTCCCCTCAAGATGGCAACCTTAAACCAAAGGAGAAAATGCAAAGATTTTGATGCTAATTAGGTATGTGAGGTTTACCTCCTCCTTCTCCGATGGCTTGTAAGGCCATTCCAGATACATCAGGATTGTAACCCTAAGTGTCCCATGCCCCACATCAGGAAATGAATTACCTATATTTCAGATACATATGCAGGATACTTCTACTTTCTATATCTTTACTTATAGGGAGCTGTGATCCCAAACCCTACTAAAAGCATCCCAGACCACAGCAGAGGTACTCTAAAAAAAATTAGCTGGTAATGGAAGGAACAATAACAATACATTATACCCTAACTGTAATTGAAATCTACTCTGTCTCTAGAGAATACTGTCAGATACCTAGCCAAGAATGGGATTTTATTTTCTAATTGTGTAAATGTTCCTATTTTTTTGTATATCATAGTATTTGTAATTAGTAATAAGTCACTACGACATAAGGATTCTGCAACCATCACTTGGATTATTCCTCAATATTTAAATTCAGAGACACAGCAGGCCTGGTAGAACTAATCATCTTTTCATCCATTCAGAAGCAGATGAGTATCTCCTACTCTGAGCCTGGTGCCATGGTGAGCACTGGGAATAGAGATAAAAGAAAGTCAAATCATATGGAAATGGAAATAATGCAATAGTGAGAGACGAAAAGAAGAAACCAGATTACTATAAAATAGTCTAAGTAATCAGTTAGGATATCCTGGACTCAGTGCTGTAGGGGCACAAAAATGGAGGTGTGTATATATATATATATGTACATATATACGTACACATGTATCTATACATATACATATATACGTACACATGTATCTATACATATACATATATGTATCTATACATATACATATATGTATCTATACATATACATATATGTATCTATACATATATGTATAGATACATATATATGTGTATATATACATATATACATGTACATATACACATGTATATATATACATGTGTATGTATATATGTACATATATATATACATGTTCAGGGTTGGAGAAAAGGATAGTAAGGCAAGGGTTCTAGAGAAGGTAATAGCTAAGCTGAGCCTTAAAGGGCAAAAAAAGCATATGAGGCATAGTCTAGACCACAATCTAACTGGGGAAGCAAGAAATAAAATATTAATGCAAAAGGGTTGAATTGGATAAGCAGACTAAATACCGTAAGCAAGGAAAATAAGAAACAAGAAGCTACATTTAAGAAGCAGCTGCTTCTCTGTATTTCGAACTATGTATGAGGTTTAAATAGTCAAAGGACAGAAGGCAAATTATGCTTCCTTTAATTCTCTCTTATAGTCCCCAATTTTATTCCTTCATGACACTCTTCACAAGTGAGTAATAACTTATTAAAAACTGTCCCCCCTTCTAAGCTGTAAATTGCAGAGGATAGGGACCAAGTATGTTTTTTTCTCCATTGCATTGTTGCCATTAATTGAGTAGTTCTTACCACCAAGCACCTGTTTAGTTAATATTTGTTAAATAGTTGAAGAATTAGATTAATGAATTGAATTTCATAAGATGCTAGAAAAGTAAGATGTTTTATAAGATATTCATGGTTTGGTTTAGTGATGATGCCATGTAAATTAAAAATAAAATTTGGAAGGAGCAACTAGAATTAAGGAAGGGCAAATCAGAGGGTAGGAAAAGATTACTATTAGCATTTCCAGCAAAATTTAGAGCTTGTATTGTCTTGATGTTTTAGTATAAAAGTGGTATTATGAAAAAAGTATATTAAAGGATTAACTGGGTTCTGTGAGCCAAAAAAACTAGAGGAGGAGTGAATAGCTAGGTGAATAGCTAGGCAGCTGGTGTCTCACTCGTTCTGGTTGGAAAGGGATGAAACCTATTCTAAAGTGTTTTCAGTAGGTGTGGGAAGGGAAGAAAAGAATAGCTATCAAGGAATCAATTGTTTGTGAATAGGATGGCATAGACCTTATTTGGCAAGAAAGAACAGCTACATAATTTGCTGTGTCTGGGGAAAAATAAATTGCAGGGCCCCTTGTTTAAAGAGTATGAATAATCTCAAGACAGTGACACAAGAGGCTAAAATAAGGGTGGGGTCCTTCTAAGTATGTGGCCCTTTGCAACCAGACAGGTTGTATATCCATGAAGCTGGCCGGTTGTCAGGAATCTCATATAAAGAAAGGAGGAAAGAAGAAAGCAAAGAAAGGATGAATGAAGGGAGGAAGAAAAAATAAAAGGTTTAGGGATGTTTATTTCAGCATATACTGAAGTTGTGTGACATAGATATACATATATTAAAAATAACCTTTAATTGTATGGTGTGTCATATCTCCTAAGTTTAACATGTGATCCCAATGGGTCATTACTATCTTCAATGCACAGTACATGTTATTAGTTTATTGTTTTGTAGAGAAGGGAACTAGACAACATGTTTGGACCAGTGTATCAGTAAGGCTATGCTTATAGACAAAACTGATCCTCTCTCTCTCTTAAAATTAGGTCTTATAATTTTAAGCTACATAATAGAAACAATGTCCAATCAAGGCAGGTAAGTATCCCATTAATCTGCTGAATATTTCTCAGTGCAGAACCACTACGTCTATGTATTAATACTTAGAAATGGGTAAAACACACAAGAACACTATACCTTGTCAAGAGGAGGAGACTAATTCAGGTATTTAGATGTTTGAAAAATGTCTTATATAAAGAAAAGCTAAAAAAAATTGACAATATTTAACAAAGAAAAAGGAAGGAAATATGGGACAAATAGTGCCTGCATTTATTGAAGGATTACTCAGAGAATCTAAAATCATTTGAGCTACCCTAATAGGTGTCATGAAAAACAAGGAGGAACGTTATAGGAATGAACATTTTACTTCTGTATTAGGAAAACCTTCTGACAGTATGAGGTCAAAAAAGAAAATGGCCTATTCACAACAATTTTATTTTTACCTGTGTAAAGAAAAATTGTGAAATATTTTGAAATAGACCAAAAGAAAACACAAAAACAAAACAAAACAAAACAAAAGCCACTGGCTATCCTGTGTGATGCAGCCTTTTGGGTATCTCAAGCTTTTATTGTCTTTGAGATATTTTGTAACTACGTAAATTAAAAAAACTGAAAATAATGCAAATCACTTTTGTCTATTGAAGTGCAAATTTGTGGTGTCTAAATTATGATTGCCCTATAACTCCTTTTGGATGTACGTGTAAATTCTTTTTAGCATTCTAGATTTGCCTAGAATGTGTGGTTCTTTGAGAGTCACTTTGAATCAATTATAATATCTTACTGGTGACTTCAGTAATTCTGGAGTTAAATAAAATTTTTGAGATGTGCATTTGTTCTATATTTGTATGAGAGTCTTGATTTTACCTTTAAAAACCTTTATCTTTTAATACTTGCAAGTGTGCAATTAAAGCAAGTTATTTTAACATCTATCAGAAACATTCTGAAAGAGATTCCTGAATTTGTAGCAGACTGCACTAAAATATTCTCAAAGGCACCTTTTAACTCTGATAATGTCCAATATATGAAGAAAAGGAATTAACAGAAAGAATAAATTGTTCTAATTGAATGACTTGGCGAAGGGAGGCACCATTGAAAGCCACAAATACAGTTCTACGGTGCTGCATTGGAAGTTGTCTGTAAGTGAATTCAGACTTACTGAGACCAAAGTGATAGAGGGATAGTCATGGGAAAATATACAGGAGTAACAGAATTCAGGCTGAATTCTGGATGACAAAATCAGGGATCTGACTTAGAAGTCATTGACAGAGAGAAGCATTGAAATTATCACTATGACAATTATGCCAAGAAAAAGGAAGGGAAAAATCGGCAAAGAGATAACATCTGTTTTTTTGTGAAATCCTCAGAATGTGGCTATTGTTGGAGAAGAGAAGAGTATTTATTCTTTGACACAAGTTTCCATCTTGGTAACTATGGATCATGGATGTCTCATTTTTTTCTCTGTAACAATGCAAGAGAACAAACAACATATATAAGATATCTCGTTTGGTTATTTTAAGTATTCCATCATAGAAAGTATTGACTTACCTTTTAATTTCTCATTTTATTCTCACAAGTTTTCTTAGACAAAACAGAAATTATCATTGATTGGTTGGAGTTTTAAAAGACCTGGATAATTTTGTTAAGGTTGATCATCACTATTATGCACAAATAATTTAAACAGGTACTTTGGCTTCTTGAGAATGGAGCTCTCAGTAATTTTGTTCATAGTTGTTTGTATTCCAAGAACTCCTGAATCCAACCCCATGATTGAATTCAACATCATTGTAAGGCACGTGCTTATAAGAAAGCTGCATATTTAATCTTCTATTTCTTTGAAAGAGGTGAAAGCATAATTCTAGCAAGACAAATATGCAGGCCTAATTGACAATTTTTATTTCTATATAGAGATTCAACAAGAGCTAAGGTGTCATAGAGGAAAGTCACTGAAAGAGCTGACTAGCACATAAAATATTTTTTTTGGTGTTTGAAGCGAGAAAGGAAGAAACAACAATCTATGATTAGAGTGCCCCTTAGTTTCATTTCAAAGAGCATGAGGCTCTCATGGCTGTATGAGGCCTCCACTAAAATAAGATGAATGGGAAGGAAAAACTTATGAGTTTATTGAAATTGCAATATTACAATTTGCCAAGAGTTCTGATCTATGATGTCCAGTGGTTTTCCAACTCCTTGGACTCCCTCTAAAATGCTGCATTGCATATATTCATTCTGCAATTTAAATAATGTGTGTGTGTGTGTGTTTGTGTGTGTGTGTGTGTGTGTGTGTGTGTTTCTTAACAGAGTGAAAAAAAAAAGTCCTGCTACTCCATAGATACCAGGGCAAGGAGCAGAGTGTTTGTGTACACACATTGGACTGTAAAAATCAAGAATAAAATTCTTAACTTGTGCTGCCACTTCTGGGCTGAATGCCCATTGCTGGTTAACTTTACCCTAAAATTGCAGGAATTAAAAATGTGATCCGTTTATTATCTCTGAAAGAGCAAAGACAGAGTGGGAACCTCCGAGTGGTTTTGTGGTCAGAGTGCTCTGCTCTTCTGCTGACAGCCTGTCAGTGCCCTGTTCCTTTCTCATCCTTAATTAGAATTCTCGGATTCTGAGGTTGCCGTCTGTACCACATTTGCCACTGTGGTCCCCGGACCTGGCACAAACACGGCTCACCTCGTCCTCATAAAATGACTCATTACCTTCTCCAGCTGTTATCTATTAGCACTGCAGATTTTGCACCAATTTCCATGCCAAGTCATCTCTCCCACCCTCCTTATTGCCCCACAACCTACTGGAGCCAGCTGGTGAGAATTCCCACACCTTGTTTAAGAGGACATTTTCTTGACACATCAAGACAGATGCATGCCCTTAAGTGCACCTACACCAAGACCTGAAACAGGATAATTTGTCCAGTTCTCAGTCACAGATATTTTGAAAAATCTAGTTCCATAGCAGCATTAATGCCATGTCAACATTTGAGACAAATAGTGCAAGAATTGTCTGTTACTGAGTGAGCCATTACTCAGGCTGTTCTCATCTGAAGAATCTTTGCATTTAGTGTGTTCAAGCTAAAACAGGAATCATTTGTGTTCAAAATTACTTCTGAACACCTACCAGCCAACATAATTTGCTTACTTAGTATACCTTGGGGCCTGCATGTATGTAGGAAATGGAGCTAGGAAATGAGACTTGTGAACAAGCTGAAAGGGAAAAAAAACAGGTTACCTTGAAAGATACAATACCAAATTTCTTGTAATTTAAAATAACTCCTCAACAGCAACAATGTAAAGAAAGACAGTTGCTGTGTTCTGTGAAGGAAGCTGTGCTCTCAGATTTATATGTTCCAACTCATGGCATCCTGAGTTACACCATATGTTAGGATATTATTATAGAGTTTAGAGATATAGAAATAAACAATTCAATATTTTTGAAATGAGCTATTGGCCAAAAGTACAAAATCTTTTAATGAACAACAACAAAAGCAACCAACGACAAATAAGGGAGAATAGCATAATAGTTATGACCAAAGGTTTTGGGCTGGAAAAATACATCTGCTTAATTTCATAACACTTTTGAGCAATTCTTAACTTTTATGAGAACAATAATAATATGCAGGGCTGGTGGGTAGATGATATAAGATGTAAAATTCTCAGGGCAATACTTGGCTCTATAGTAAGTCTTTGGTAAATAGAAACCAGCATTAGAAATTATAATGGGGAGGAGGGATGAAGGTAGGAGGGAAGAGAGAGTAAAACATAGTCAATAATCAATCAATCAGAACAGAGCAAAATATGGTTGAATGGCTTAATTTGATCTCAGGAAGAAAAATGCTGCTCAGAGATAAAGATAATTTAAAAATTACATGCAACAAAAAATTGATGGAAGCGTCTACATGAAAATTTAAAACTTCTGCACATAAGAACAAACCACATTTTCTTAATCCATGTGTTAAATGTGGCACATATACACCATGGAATACTATGCAGCCATAAAAAATGATGAGTTCATGTCCTTTGTAGGGACATGGATGAAATTGGAAATCATCATTCTCAGTAAACTATCGCAAGAACAAGAAACCAGACACCGCATATTCTCACTCATAGGTGGGAATTGAACAATGAGATCACATGGACACAGGAAGGGGAATATCACACTCTGGGGACTGTTGTGGGGTGGGGGGAGGGGGGAGGGATAGCATTGGGAGATATACCTAATGCTAGATGATGAGTTAGTGGGTGCAGCACACCAGCATGGCACATGTATACATATGTAACTAATCTGCACAATGTGCACATGTACCCTAAAACTTAAAGTATAATAATAAAAAAAAAAAACAAGTTATCACTTTAAAAAAAAAAAAAAAGAACAAACCATACACAAAATTAAAAGGCAAGTCAATTGCAATTATTGGTAGTAATTATTTAGGAAAGAGGAAAGGAGAGAAGCCAGAACAGAAATACCATTTCACTTATAATTGTGCTAGTATTGATTTTTGTCTTTCCCACTTCCTCTTTTAAAATTTTTATTTATTTATTTATTTATTTATTTATTTATTTATTTATTTATTTATTTATCTTTGAGATGGAGTCTTGCTCTATTGCCCAAGCTGGAGTGCAGTGGCGTGACCTCAGCTCACTGCAACCTCTGCCTTCCAGATTCAAGCAATTCTCATGCCTCAGCCTCCAGAGTTGCTGGGATTACAGGCACCCACCACCATGCCTGGCTAATTTTTGTAATTTTAGTAGAGATGGGGTTTCGCCATGTTGGTCAGGCTGGTCTCAAAATCCTGACCTCAGATGATCTGCCTGCCTTGGCCTCCCAAAGTGCTGAGATTACAGGCATGAGCCACTGGGCCTGGCCTATTTATTTTTTAATTGACAAATAAAAACTATATTTTTATGGTATACAGAATGATGCTTTGATATGTTCATGCTTAGCATTTTAATTAGAAATTGGAACCACATTCACAAAAGATAATGTATAATTATAGAAATCATAACTATGCAAATATTAGAGGGCATTTACTATATACATAAGTCTAACTGGATATTGGTAAAGAAACAGTGTACATCAGGAAGGGTCAGTGCTTGGTGGCTTCTTAGAGCTGAGGGCATCACATTATGGCCCTCACTTTAGTGCAGGAAATCCTGTAGGTTTTTTGCTCTAAGCCATATATATAGCCAGAATTCCTTGTTTGTCCCACATGGCTGGGCTTTGTGATGTCCAGGCAAAATCTTATATTTGGAATTTTTTATCTTCTTTTCTATTTGGCTGTCAGTTGGCCACTTCTAGGAATGTTATGAAGGAAATCTCTATATTTGATGATTTGATATTGAAAATATCTAAGGTCATAGGCCTGTGATTACACCTGGTTTCTTTTTATCTTACTTAGAGGTTGTAGTGCACATTTAGAACCTTAGAATACTGTGTTCCGTTAGAGACATTTAGGCTCATGCCATATCTGGAACAAATTGTTGTGTCTAAACGTCTCTAGGGGAAGACAATATTTACAACAAGCAACTGCTTTCGGTAATACAGTGAAATATACAAATATGTTCTTCATGCATTTTTACCTATGCTATACTTTGTGCCTTTTAAGCTAAGTTTTTAAATTTGCAATTTGATCTACCGAACAGTTCCCCATTAATAGTAAACATTTATAGTTTTCTGATTTCTTGCTGGAATTATATTCACATCCAGATCTTCATTATTTTTCCATTTCCAAATTTGTTTTCTTCACCTGCCTCTGACTTATGAAGCAAGTTCTCCTCCAGAAAATGTTTACTATTAATATATATATGTATGTATGTATATATTACTACTAATATACTACTAATATATGTATGTATGTATGTTTACTACTAATATATGTATTATGTATGTACTACCAATATATGTGTGTGTATATATAACTACATAGTAAAATATATATATACATAGTAAAATATATATACACACACATATATTAGTAGTACATACATACATATATTAGTAGTAAACATATATATGTTTATATATTATATATATTTATATATAATATATATAGGTAGTAAAAAATATATATATTTTACTATGTAGTAATATATATATTTTACTATGTAGTAATATATATATACACACACACATATACACACACACCAATGCCTCTGTTTAATTAAGATAATTTTGTTACTAATAACATTAGACTTAACAAATAGAAGTTTTGCATAATGTAATGATCACCTGATAACCATGAAAATCAATTGGTAAAACCAATGGTAAATATGTAAAAATCTGGGCTAGTACTATAGCTAGAAAGGCTATAGTGGTACTCTATGTTGGATGCCACTATCTTTCCTTAGGGAACTTTTAAAATAATACCAATGTCTTGGTTACAAACCAATTTTAATGAGTGGCTAGTGCTGAGTATCACTAACCTTATTTATGAAATTTTATAAAAAGGCCAATCAGAGGAGGTAAATACCGTATGTCTTTAACATTCCAAATTAATCACTACTCACAATAGCTTAGACATAAAATATGTAGAAAGTCCATAAGATTCTCTTTGACTGAAAGGAAGCCATAATGGAAATGGACATATAAGCAAAATCCTTTTATACTGTATTGCTATGATCACTATGTCAATATTTCATTTCCTACAGAGTTTCCTATTTACTTGGCACTTAAAGAAGAAGGAGATCACTCTTCTCTTTCCTTCAAGTCAAATGGCCAGGGAATATGGAACCATGGGGGAATTTAGGAGGAGTACAGGTTGAGTTTTAGGGAAAATGGGAAGCTGCTTCTTGGCATCCTTCTTCATCAGAGGAACAATAAATGCTCTCATCTAAAGTCCTTTTCCTACTCTCAATTTCCCCATGGACTACCTTGTCGCTGGAGCCTCATTGACTCAGAATAATTGGATATGGCCTTTTCTGTAATGAATTGGCTGCTATCATGATAACCACTGCATAAATACCTAATGAAATGAGAGCTGTCTCCTCCATGCCCAGCCAAGCTGGTTGCCTCCAGGCCAAGAGAACATCCTAGAGGAAACTGCACAGACTGCGTGTCTTCTGCAGAAGTTCAAGTTAACGAAGTTTCAAACTAATGGCATTTTTTTCCACAACCAATCTCAACGGCGAACGGCTTTAGCAAGGATGCTTGCTGGAGTCTGGAATTTGACTAATGAAACACTCATTAGCCATCTCCTTCAGGGTTTATCATGTTTAAGGCTACCTCACCAATGAGGCAACTGGAATACAATCAAAGTCTAAATGGAAAGTAGAAATTGAAGTTCACTTTTTCTGGTCAAGAGATTCACACTGAATATTTTCTATTTATAAATAAGGCAATGGTATGATTTCTTGTAAGAGACTAGTTGTCTTCTAAAATTGAGACAACTTGAAATGTGATATTTCACATGTGCTTTATCAAATAACATCTTTAGTTATATATAATAGAAATGGACTGGCTGCCTTAAATAGAAAAACAATTAATCGTGTGGATTTTGAAAAGTATAGTGGCTGGATAGAAAGGTCAGGCTTTTAAACTAAAGATGGGAATTAAAGCAGTTCTGAGAATCTAAGTAGCATAAACTCCTCAATAAAGATATTCAATTCAGAATGCAATATCTAGAGTAAATGTGCTACAAATACTTTTCCTCCAGCCTCTTGGTGACAAGTTGACTGAAGTAACTCTGGCCTTATGTTCTCCCAGGTTCAAACTCAGTAGGAAAGAAAGTCCTGACAACATCAGTGAACGTTTCCTTGGGTATCATTGGCTCCAAAAGTCAGGTACTTCTTTCCGAAGCAATTACTCTGATTAAAAGGTTGTTCTTTGCTCACTCCTGAAATAAGAAAAAGGACAGAATCCACTCCATCTGAAACTCAGAGTCTAAGAGTTGAGAAGAGATGGTTCTTTCAAAGAAATTGTCAGAATACTTGTCACAAAAGAAGAACACGTAATTCCATAAGGCAAAAAGAAATGTGTACTGTGCTGCAAAATACAGTCTCCACAAAGGTTTAGAGGTAGAAATTAAAAGACAATGAAGGGCAAAGACGCATATTGTTCAACAGTTGTTCAACATTATATGTCGTTAAGGAAGTACAAATTAAAACCAAAAATGGCCAAAATCCAAAACACCAAAAACACCAAATGCTGGCAAAGATGTGGAGCAGCAGGAACTCATTCACTGCTAGTGGGAATGCAAAATAAGATTTGCTTTGGAAGACTGTTCAGCAGTTTTTTATGAAATTAAAAATACTCTTAACATACAATCTAACAATTTGAAAACATATGTCCACCAAGACCTTGCACATGGATGTTTATAGCAGTTTTATTTATAATTACCAAAACTTAAAAGCAACCAACATGTTTCTGTCGGCAAATGAATAATTAAACTGAGGTACAGCTACACAATGGACTATTTTCAGCATGAAAAATAAATAAACTACCAAGTCATGAAAAGACATGGCTTCATAAGGAGAAGCCTTGAGTGTGTACACTAAGTGGGGAAAGCCAAGCTGAAAAGGCTATAGACTCTATGATTCCAACTATATGACATTCTAGAAAAGGCAAAAATGATAAAGACAGGAAAAAGATCAGTGGTTGCAATGGGTCACAAGGTCACAAGAGAAGAATAGGCAGAGCACACAGGATTTTTAGGGCAGTGAAAAGATTCTGTATGATACTACTATGTCATTACACCTGTGTTATAATGCACAGGATGTATGACACCAAGAGTGAAACCTAATGTAAACTATGGACTAGGCAATAATTATTTGTCAATGCAGAGTCATCGTTTTTAACAAATATACCACTATGGGGTGTGAAGTTGACAGTGGTAGAAGTGTGTGTGGTGGGGGGTAGGGGATATACGGGAACTCTCTATTCCTTCTACTCAATTTTTTTGGAACCTAAAACTCCTCTAAAATATAAAGTCTATTAAGAAAAAAACATATATGCAGGTCCCAGAAACCAGTACTCTACACTTTTCCTGACTTCCTTCTTGGCCTTCTCATTAGCACCAAGGTCCCTGGTACACCACAAAAAGCCAAGGCTTGAAGTTAGCTGAGTTTTAATTCTGCCAGCTTTTCCTTAGCTCCATGACCTTGAGCAAAATGCCTAACCTTCACATTCAGATACAAAATGACATAAACCTGTACAAATCATATAATTAAGCATCCAGTAACCATAAGCAATATTTATTGAGCACATACTATGTGCCAGACACTAAAATAAGCACTTTATATATAATAACTAATTTAATCCTCACTTAACCTTGTGAGGTAGTTACTACTGTTCCCATTATTTTAGAGCAAAATAAAGGAATGCAGAAAGTGATTAAGTACGTTTCATAAAGTAACATGGCTAACAAGCATGAAAGTTGGAATACCAGCTCAGAAAATCTAGGTCTAGAAGCTTTGCTTTTTACCAATACACTGAATTCCCTGCATATATCATGTCCATACAGAGTAGGGTTTAAAAGTTTTAATTTCCTTTTCTTTCTCTATCCTCTCTCTATTGTGCCTCTTGAATCACAGGAGTTCCACCAACTTTACATCATTTTTTTTTTAAACTTACAAATAAATAAGTGGAGAGAAATTAAGGTAGTATTAGGAATTCTAGATTCCAAATAACTGTTTTAAATGGGTTGTAACTTTGAATACATTTTTGTTTTTGAGTAAGGAGATGGATAACCGGGTAATGTATCTAAGATTGACATTGGACCAGTATTTCAACTCCTACTTAATTCGTCCTATCTCTACCTCTCTATTCACTTTCCCTTTCAGAAGAAAGAAGGACAGCATAAAAATAATGTCTAATTCAGGCTTTTGGTATGAAATGGTTTTAGGTTTTGAAGAGTAATCCATTTATGGAACAAAAGAGTCTTAAGTGAGGCTCGACAAGAATCGAAAGAGTAATAACACTTGACACTGGGAAGAATGAATATGCAGAAGAGGAACTTTAGCTTCTATTACAGAAAAAAATATCATTGTTCCCTTCTTCTGTTCATAGATGCATATTGGTTTATGTGACAGATTTATTCCTGAGTCGAGTATATCACATGTTGGTTAACAATATTCACTCTCTGAGTTTTCTGTTTCGGTAAGGTGAACCCATTTTTTAAAGTAGCTAATTCTTTTGTAATGTCTGAGTTTCTTTTGTTGTGGTTGTTTTGTTTTGTTTTTTCAGTTTTCTGGCTGTTGCATATATCTACCTCAATTGTTGAGTTTCCAAAGATAAGGCAAGCCTCCTTCCTTCCTACATTTCTTCCTTCCTTCTTTCTTTGAGAAACATTTATTTAGACACTGGGCGGGGGGAATAAAGATGAATAAGATATGGGTCTTAAAAGATCAGAAATAGAGTTAAACACAATTAACATATGGGAGTTGGCTCATCAGAGCAATGACACTGACTGATCTGCTCACTGAATATTCACAAGTTCTCCTCACACCCCTTTTACAACTAGGTGGGGTCATGTGACTGACTCTGACCAGGAAGCCCTGAGTGGAAGTAAAGCTTGTCATTTCCAGGCCAGAGTACATAATTGCTGGTGCAAGACTTTCCAGCAAACACTTGCCTAGAGACTCAAGAAGCCACATATTCTGGATTGTATTTTTCCAAAATGGAGGAGACATCGTCAGCCTAGATTGACAGTTAATTATGAGGAATTCAGCTCTCCACTACCCAGCATGAGACGTGGGCCATGTATGAGAAATAGAACTTTGTTGCTTGAAGGGACTGAAAACTCGGGGTTAATTTAGGGGCTCAGCATGGCTTATCCTAATCAGACTAATATATTTATAACATGGGATGGAAAACACAGGGAATAATAACATTTACGTAGAGTGGGCCCAGAATTATTTTAAGTACGTAACACATATCACTTCACATCATCCTCATAACAATCCAATGAAGTAGGTACTATTATTATTTCCATTTTACAGATGAGTAAAGTGAGGCACAAGCAGGTAACCAACTTGCCTACAAATATATAATTAAACATGTTGGAGCTGGGAATTAAACTTAGGCCATCTGGCTCCAGGGTTCATTAACTCAACAACAATGCAATTAGAAAACAAAACAAATGCGCAATTGCACAATGGAAGTATACTGTCTCAGGGTTTCCTTCAATTTGGAATATTAATATTTAGAATCAACATTTGGCACATTCCATTTGGAATATTATGTTGGTGCAAAAGTAACTGTGGTTTTGGTCATGAAAAGTAATGGCAAAAACCACAATTACTTTTTTAAAAAAAATTTATTATACTTTTTATACTTTAAGTTCTGGGATATGTGTGCAGAATGTGCAGGTTTGTTACATAGGTATACATGTGCCATGGTGATTTACTGCACCCATCAACCTGTCATCTAGGTTTTAAGTCCCACATACATTAGCTATTTGTCCTAATGCTATCCCTACCCTTGCACCCCAACCCTCTGACAGGCCCCAGTGTGTGATGTTCCCCTCCCTGTGTCCATGTGTTCTCACTGTTCAACTCCCACTAATGAGTGAGAACATGAGATGTTTGGTTTTCTGTTCCTGTGATAGTTTGCTGAGAATGATGGTTTCCAGCTCCGTCCATGTCCCTGCACAGGACATGAACTCATTCTTTTTTATGGCTAAATAGTATTCCACGGTGTATATGTGCCACATTTTCTTTATCCAGTCTATCATTGATGGGCATTTGGGTTGGTTCCAAGTCTTTGCTACTATGAATAGTGCTACAGTAAACATGAGTATGCATGTGTCTTTATAGTAGAATGATTTATAATCCTTTGGGTATATACCCAGTAATGGGATTGCTGGGTCAAATGGTATTTCTGGTTCCAGATCCTTGAGGAATGCCACACTGTCTTCCACAACGCTTGAACTAATTTACACTCCTACCAACAGTGTAAGAGCATTCCTATTTCTCCTCTTCTTCTCCAGCATCCAGTTTCCTGACTTTTTAATGACAGCCCTTCTAATTGGCATGATACGGTATCTCACTATAGTTTATGCAAGCAATAAACATATGAAAAAAAAGCTCATCATCACTGGTCATTAGAGAATTGCAATTACTTTTGCACAAACCTAAATAGTACCATCTAGTCCCTGAAAAAATATTTATTGAGAATCTACCGTGTGCTGACTTCTCTGTTCAGCCTCAATCCTATCCTAGGTAGTGGAAAACTGAGAATCCCCAGGAGCATGTGAGAAATTAAACAGAGCAGCTTCAGGGGCCACTTGAAATCTCCTGCTTTCCAGAGCAACTTGTGTTGAAGCACAGAGAAAGTGTTGAGGATTGTTACTTCAATAAATCCCCAAATTTGCATTAGAAGACACTTAGTTTGTCCTTAGCGCAACCAACGCCTTGTATCATGGCCCAACTCTCTTAATTGTTCAGCTTTCATTCTCTGTTTCTTGTTTAACACAATGGTCTGTATCTCATAGAATTCCAAACAGACATAGGCTACTTTTGTCTTAAGGCAAATTGGCTTATAATTATACTAATTCAACTAATATTTATATTTTACCATCTACAATAAAAATTTTCAACTGTTTGGATGAATTCTAATGGGCAAATATTTCAGTACACCATAATTGGGCTTCAAAGGCAATTTTTATTAATGCTTCTTGTAACATACGAATAAACACATTTATATATATGTTACAAGAAGTCTATTGACTCTGTAAATGGTAAAATCTGTTAACACTGCATTTTTATTTCTGCTGTTGCTTTTAGGAGTTGATCTCCATAACCTGGAATAAAGATATTGTCTTTCTTAACTTGGCATGTTGCTAAAGTCACAGTCAAATCAAATTGTGTGTGCACTGTTTTGAAACCCCCCTCCCTATCTCCATCTACCTTTCCTGGAGAGGAAAAAATAAAAACAAAAAAGAACAAAAACAAAGCTTGCCTCCACCTGGCTTTGAGCCAGGGAAGAAGAAGAAAGAAGCTTTTGTTATTGATGCTATTTATAACCCTGAATTACTCCGTTAGAATAATGGGGCCTGAGCAGGGGAAGATCTTTTGTTTGCTTAGTACAAATGCGTCTTCCCCCTCAGTAAAACCTTACTTAGGATCATACTAAACAGTCACTGCAGGTACCAGGTGTGGAGCTAAAAGCGAGGAAAGGACCAAGATATTTGTAAAGAAGAAATGGAGAGGAACTGAGTTCCAGGCAGAAGATTTGGAAGCGGAAACCATCCTCCGAGGAGATGGAGAGCCAGTGGAGGATGGGTTACTTTCTATCTGAAGCCTGTGGAGATTGAGAAGAAAATAAGTGTTTCAAGGGGTTTTGTCAAGTGAAACATCATGGGGGTGGTGGTGGTGAATGTGAAGTCGTCCCACCTACAATACCTTTGATAAAATATTGTTCATTGATATGGTTTGGCTGTGTCCCCACTCAAATCTCATCTTGAATTGTAGCTCCCATAATTCTCACATGTTGTGGGAGGGACCTGGTGGGAGATAATTGCATCATGGGGGTCGTTTCCCCCATACTGTTTTTGTGGTAGTGAATAAGTCTCAGAAGACCTGATGGTTTTATAAGGGGAAACCACTTTCACTTGGTTCTCTTTTCTCTCTTGTCTGCCGCGATGTAAGACGTGCTTTTCACCTTCGGCCATGATCATGAGGCCTCCCCAGACACATGCAACTATAAGTCTATTAAATCTCTTTTTCTTTATAAATTATCCCGTCTCGGGTATGTCTTTATCAGCAGTGTGAAAATGGACTAATACACCCATGAATATCTTCACACAATGTTCTAGAAAGAAGTTTCTTCCTGTTTCAAAATTAGCATAGGATGAAAGCCAGGCTTGTCTCAGAAAGCTGAGGGGAGGGCCACATCACCAAATTCTGCCATCAAAGCCACTTTCCTTCAGTTCATTGGCTTTCCCAAGGTATGAAAGAAAAGTGTTTTCTTTGATTGGTCCTTTTATTATCTACAGCTCCCTTGGAGCCTAGGTCTACTGTATTCATTCAAAAAGAGTTGGCAGATTGGGGATGACCCAAAATTACAGGATTTAGGACATTTTCTTAAAATATACTACCATGCTGTTTTTACTGCTTTAACAGCAAAGCATCCAGACAATGCAGGTTTTTAGGATATTGTGTTTTTCCAGAGAAATCAAATGAATTAGGTCCCCAGTGGTAAATATAAAAAGAAAAAGAGGACTTGTTCGATTTATAGCAAAACATATATTTAGCTGTAAAGGAGAGAAAGAAAAAGACAACAGAAGAGAAAAGAAAAAATGCATTTTAAGAGAGTAATAAATAATTATGAACTGTTGATTCAGTTGGGAGGGTAAATTATTTCGGTACGTCTGAAAAATTCAGAAAGCTGTAAAATCACTAGTCAGCATGCCACTGACTATTCTGGATTAAAGCAGCACCGGTTACCATTAAATGAAAGGAGAGAACACGGAAGAATGTAATACTGTGTTTTATGCATAAACAGTGTTGCAAGTACTTACTACATGCAACAATTTTGTAAGATTGATTTTATACCCATTTTAGCATTGGGGATAATTGAGTTTCAAAAAGGTTAATCAGCTAGACCAGCTTGTATAGAGAACATGCATTTTAAGTTAACTGAAGAATAGTTGAACTCTTAGTCTTTGCCAGGCTGTATACAAGATCAAGGTCAGAAAACTTTGTAAAGCATCAGATAGTACATATTTTAGGCTTTGCAAGTCATACAGTCTCTGATGCAATACTCAACCCTGCAGTTGTAGTACAAAACTAGCTATAGGAGATATGTAAAAAATGAGAGTGGTTGTGTGCCAATAAAACTTTATTTACAAAACCAGGCAGGCAGCAGACTGGATTTGGCCTGGGGTTTATCAACTCCTATGATTGATGATGAGGGTATGATGGTGAGAAAGTCAACTCATTAATCCCTCACAGAGCCTCTCTAATTCTAAAGACACTATTTCACCGTTTTCTTGCATCTGCTTTATTTAGACAGTGCTTCCCCCCAAAAAGATCTGAGATTTTTAAGCTAAAAATGTTTAACTAAGAAAAGTAAATATTTGCAAGATCTACACATGAGCACCCTGGTTCTTTTGCATTCATGCACCAGTGGGGTCTCCCAACTCATCCAATTTACGAATTTTCAGTTTGTCTCCATGTCTTTCCACAGTTTCCAATTCCAAGTGCAAATATCCTCCTAGCTGATTTCCCATTAAACAGAGCCACATTATGACTCCTGGAAGACACATCAGGTTAGGATTATTAGACTTATCTTCAGGGAACAGACATCTCAGAACATATCAGAATTTATGAAGTTGATGCATTTGATTAACTGTATCATCGCTGCAGTCCTACAGCTGGATTATTGTTTTGCTGTCAACATTCGTCAGATCTTGATTTGAGCATCCTTGCAACACTATTCCTCCTCTGTTCAGTTAGCTCCTGTGTGGAGACAGGGACCCTTCGGGAAATGTTCTACTGCCTCCTATGTTCTGCTTTGAATCCTCCTCCCCTGTTTCACATGTTAAAACAAATAATACATTTTGAATATTAATACACATTTTTGAAAATTATTTTTCAGTCTGTACAACCTTTTGATTCTGGTTACTTCCCTGTCTTAGAAAGGGAATCAATAACCAAGAGTGTTTTTAAAATAAAGTTTCTATTATAATAATTATGATTTACTATTTTTATAGTACTATAATTTCAGAATTTCCTTAAAGAAATTAATTTCGAAGTTCACAACTTTCCCCTCAAAATGCAAATTGTAACAAAAATAAGAAAGAAAAAAATGATAACTACCATGTATTACGTACTTAATAGGTGCCACAGACTGTGTTAAGTACCATAAATGGATTGACTTTTTTACATGCAAACATAAAATTATAAAATTAGAGGTAAGCTTGAGAGCAAAATAATACCACAGTAAGTAATTCAAGTGACAGTGCTGTCCTTTGTTGCTTCTACTACAAAGTGAATTATAGGGTTTGGCTTTTACTAGTTCAGATCTGTATTTTAGGTGTGAGTTCAATAATTGTTCTGAGCAGAGTTGCTCTGGCCAAGCTGACTGCTGTATTCTGTGTTAACTTTCCTGGTTTACCTACCAAAGGTGAAATGCTCTGGATGCCAGAAGAATTGAGTTTAAGAAGCCAGGATTTGGAGATAACCTATAAATATTGGAGGCAGGCCCAAAGGAAGTTGTAGGGAGTACTAAATATAAGACTTGACGACAATAGAGACACAGCCCTATTCTCAGGGATTTTGATTCACTAGATCTGGGTAGGATTCAGTAATAAATATCATTTTCAACAAAAATCCTCAGCGATTCTGCTGCAGGTGGTCCTCAGATCACATCTTAAGAAGTATTGATGTAAACAGAACTGTTTCAAACTGCTTCTTTCTTCATTCCCTTACTCCCTCTGCTAACCAAGTCCTCCCACTCAGTCCACTGAAAGGGCCAGGCTTGGTGATGCTAAGGTATGGCTTCCTCCCTAAAGGAGATAAACAATACAAAAACTTTCATGCTGAGCCAAAATGTTCACTTAATATCAACTTGTAACAGTCTCTTGTATTTTGTGTCTAGATCCTTGATCCAAAACTACCTAAATTTGGAATGAAGCTGCTCAAACTTTCATAATTACTGACATTATTAAGATTTTAAATCTGTATAGAACTAAAGTTTTACTTTTTTAATTGATGCATAATAGATGTACATATTTTGGGGGTACACGTGCTAGTTTGACACATTCATATAATGTATAAATTGGTGTAATTGGGCTATTCATCACCTTATTTACTTTTTATTTGAGAAATATTCAAATTATTCTCTTCTAGCTATTTTGAAATGTACAATAGATTAGCGTAAACTATAGTCATCCTACTGATCAGTTGAATACCAGTTATCATTTCTCCTATCTAACTGTGTATACTTGTACCCACTAATCAACTTCTCTTAAAGTTCTTCTTATTTTCCAGCCATGCCTAGAATCTTGACCTAGTACTGGTAAACACTCATGCTCTGCATGTGTTTACAACACTTTCGATTTCCCCATGGTTGTGAGCTGTTCCTCTGAATTGACACTTGGATAGATGTCCTCCAATACCCATGTTGTATTTCATTTCCATCATGAATACTTGTGTATGAGCTCCTTGCTACATCTATAAAATTGGATTTCCAGCCTTGCCTTATCTATCCTTGCTCAGGTACCTGCTAATAGACATCTCCTCTTGCAAATCCCACAAAGACACCAAATCCAATATCACCAACACAAACCTGATCCCCTTTTGTCATTTAAAAAAATCTTACTAAAGAAGGCCATCACTATTCCAGTCACTAACGTTAAACAAACAAAACAAAAAACTGGGTGTCATCCTAGATCCCTTTATGCTTACCACACATCCCTTCATTTAATCCCCCAACCGTTTTCACAGGCACCAGTGTCCTAGGGTTCTATCTGGGCTTCCTAGCACCAATCTCCCTCCTCTCAATTCCTTCTTCACATTGCTGCAGTCCAAACTATCATCAAACCAAATCTGATTATGCCATTGCTTTTCTTTTCTCCTTAAAACACTTTAATGTTTTCACATTGCCAAAAGAATCAATTTCAACATCCATGCAATTAAAAAGTGCATTTATAACCCAGAGACTGTCAATTTACCCCAACTAATCTCCATCTCATTCCATGTATATAATCAAAATTAATATATATCCAGCTATAATAAGTACTTACAGTGTCCCAAATATGCTGTTCTGCTTCTGGCCTCGACCACTCCAACTTAAATCACCATCATGTTTTTTCTGCACCTCTGTAAGAGACTCTCCTTTCCCCTTTCTCTTCCCCTAAACATGTCCTCCACCCAACCCCCTAAGTGAATTTTGATAAAATAATAAGATCATGTCAGTCCTCTATTTGGCTCTCCAATGGCTTCCTGCTGCACTGGATGGATGTTCATATTCCATCCATTGGTCTATAAGGTCCTCTATGATCTGATTCCTGCCTACCCTCTGCCCCTTCTCTCCTTCCATCCTCCCACTCTTTCAAATCACTCCAACCCAACTGACCTTCCTGATCCTCACATGAGCCAAGCTCATTTCTGCTTTAGGAACTTTGCTCTCAGAACCTTCCTGTAGCTTTTCCTCCATGCTTATGCATGGCTGGTTCTTACTCCTTATTCAGGTCTCAACTGTCACCTCCTCGGAGAAGCTCTCCTTGACCACACCATCAAACGCTAAGTGTCCTCCCCATATTTCTCTGTTACTTTACTGTGCTTTATTTTCTTCACGCCATTTCTCACTTAGCAAAATCACCTGAATTAGTTAGTTTACTAATATAGTCATGCCCCTCCCCAACGCAATTGTAAGGACACCATTTCAATAAGCATTTGTTGAATGTCTCAATGGCTTTGCTTATGTTGTTCCTTCTGCTTCAAATAGGCTTCTTCAACCTTGGGCACTGACTACTTGCTAGGCTCTAGAATATTCTTCAACACTTAATTCAAACAACTCTTCTGCTGGGAAGTCCTCTTTCACCCCAAACAGCATTGATCACATCTAGGTTTGCCTTGCTCCATGTCTCATTACAGCATCAAACTGTTTCATAACTATTTGCTTGCATGTCCTTCTCCCAAATTAGACCTCCTTGGAGTAAAGGATGAATCTTATTCATCTCAGGATCCTCTGCATATAACACGGTTCTCCAGGGGCAGTAGATACTCAATAAATGTATCCTGAATGAACAAATAAATCTGCTGCTGCCCATACCAGAGTGTAGATAAGATGTGAGAACAGTGATGATCAGAGTGATGGAGCCTTAAGACTAATAAATAAGCTGAACTCAAGTCTCTCATTGTATGTGTGTGTGTTGACTTTTCACATGTATAGAAAGATACACACACATAAGGTATGAATAATCCTCAAGTACAATGATTCAAAGAAATTACATATAATTAATCCTTATTATATTGCTCAGAATGTATTTTAAATATATTTGGTCATTTATGGCTAATGCAACAATTGTAGCTGCAACTGTAGCTGTGGGTACTCATCTTTTTGATTTACGTATGCCTGTAACTGTACTTACCTAAATTGATAGGTTCAGAATAAAGAAGGAAGAGTATGAAGCAATTCAAATATAATGCTTAGTTCAAGGGAGGTACTTTAAATCTCTTCTTAATTAAAGAAATAAAGATTCTTGGAAACCAATCATTGAATTTGAATTTTGCCATTTAAAATTTTATGAAACACTAATGAATAAGATATAATGTCCATGTTTATATACATTCCTATAAATGTTAAGTATTTGCTTGCATCTACATATCTATTCAGCTTTGATTATTCCTTTTTGGCAGTTTTATCCAATATATTGTTTTTTGGAAAAAACAACTTTTAACAATACTTACAAGACTCATGATTATTTCTCTCTTCTGTTGATTTTGCCAAAGAGCTTTAAAACATCTTTTATCACTCCTTCATTACATGGATGAATAAACTTATTTGAGCATTTATTTACTAACTTTGCAGTTGCTCTAGTTTTCTAAATTTTGTGTTTTGAATCCTCTTCTGTGTCTGTAAAATGACCTTGGAGTGAAGTTGTATCTGCAAGTCACATAAAGCCATAAGAGATCATAGAGATCACTAAAATTTATTCAGACTTTTTGAGTATTTGCAAGATTGTGTGGGAAAGAAAAAGAGGAGGAAGAGGAGAAAGAAGAAAGAAAGGAAAGAAAGGATGAAGGGAAGGAAATAGAGAAAGAATGTAAGACTTCAAATGCAAAGAAGAAAGTGCAAAATCCAGTCAAATGTTTTGGCTGGTTGAGAAATGAAAGCAGGTAAGATATTACATTTTATTAACTAAGAGGCCAACTACTTTTGAATATTTTGAAGCCCACAATATCTGCAGCTCCAGGTACCTTGCCGGCTAAGCTAAAATCACGGGGTCCAACTTCTGTTATTTGGAAAGGCAATTGCCTGAGTGGCCATGAATCTTCCAATCTTAAGACAATTAAAAGTAAGTAGCAATGATAAAAAAAAAAATCCAGTTAAATGAATGCTAATGACCTGTCTGACTAGCGATGTGTCTTTCAATCCCAGATGAAAAATCACAAACAAAAAGATTTAACAAAATCAAAACTATAATATCTGAAATTATAGAATTGGATTCTCATGTCTAAGGATTTGCACATTTAGGCAATTTATGTTTCTGAGATGCTTAAACAAATTTAATCTAGTAGACTGATAGTCTTATAGTTTAAAATATATTTTAATCAAAATATAATGAAGTAACTGATAGACTTGTGATTTTAAGTTGAAATTTTAGTAGACTTCTGTTCGGTAATGGGAAATCTAAGATTTTTTTCATTCGTCGATTATAAATTTTAGGTTTTACTTTTATAAAAATTATTTAGTGAATAGGAAAGTTTGATTAAGTTAGAGAGTTACCTCAAAATGAAGTAAAATATATTAATTTTTGAATAATATACCTTCTATTACTACATATAATAGTGCTAATGAAATGGTAGTATCTATTGTTGCAATGCAGATGTGGAGTCATTTGCTTAAAGCCCATTAAATTGTTTAGAAACCTAAGAGTAACAGATGAATGCCTACTTTTTGCTGTGTCTAAATCATCCTACGTGTTAGTTGCTCTTGCTATCCATTTATAGATAAAGAAACTCTAGAACAAGGGGTAAAGGAATTTAAGTAATCTGACCATGTTTGCTCAGCTAGTAATTTTAGGAACCAGAATTTTTACCTAGGGTTGTGTGATTTCAGTATAAAAGACTTATTAAACATTGTAATACAGCAATATACAGTAATACCACCTCTATCTTGTTTAACACGATATATTTTGCTCCTCAAATGGCAAGCATAAATGGGACCTTGGCAAATTGCAGGATTATTTGCTATTGGAAATTTTTGTCTAAGAGTGAAAAATAACCCTCATTAATCTTTTATTTCCATACAGAGTTTCATAGATTGTCTATATTTAAGATAAAGCCAACTTTTACACGGACTACCTCTGAAAAATATAAATTGGATGCTATTTGTCTGAAGAAGTTAGGATGAGATTTGATATCCTTTTTTTGGTACACTAAATTTAGACAAATTCAAGCAATTCTTTTGAAAATCACTGTGGGACAAAGATATTGAAAGACAAACTAGAAAAGTAAAGTAGCTAGTGGAACATCTTTATCACTTTGATCAATTATTTCAAAAGCCTCCAAGAGGTCAGATTACTTCGCTTTAGGTTTCCAAATGTATTAGGACATTTTCAGTGTAAATGGACAGTTAGTCTAGTGAAAGTGTTGTTCCTCTGGCATTTTCTGAACTTTAAAGGACACTGGGGTGTTTCTGGGAGTAAAACAGCAAGTCTTCTTTGGTGGGATTCTTGCGGGCTGGTCACTAAAATGCAAGTGTGGTCCACGTTGAAATGAGTAAAACTATTGACCTATGGCTCAGAAGCTAAGAGACCAAGGATGACATAAACATGAACACTAGCTGTTCCAAGGGACAATGCCATCTGGTTTGCTGTAGACGCTGTCAGAAATAGCAGACTCCTGAGATTCTCATTTTCACTCTTGGCAGATTGGAAAAGGCTAACAAACACTATGGCACAAAGGTAAATAAACTTTCCTTGGAGGCTATAGGCTTCTCCTCAAAGTCAATGAGGCAAGGCAAGTACATTTTTAAAGTGAGTCCTTATTGAGGATCATTGGATGCTTCATTCTTGTGCCTTGCTCTGTCATAAAGCTTCTAGGGCGAGACCAATATGCCCAATCTCAAACATTCTATTTTTAATATTCCTTTTTACAATTTTTTTTTTGAGACGGAGTCTCACTCTGTCGCCCAGGCTGGAGTGCAGTGGCGTGATCTCGGCTCATTGCAACCTTTGTCTCCCAGGTTCAAGCGATTCTCCTGCCTCAGCCTCCAGAGTAGCTGGTACTACAGGTGCCCGCCACCACACCCAGCTAATTTTTGTATTTTTAGTAGAGATGGGGTTTCACCATGTTGGCCAGGCTGGTCTCGAATTCCTGACCTCAGGTGATCGCCTACCTCGGCCTCCCAAAGTGCTGGGATTACAGGCGTGATCCACTGTGCCTGGCGTACAATGGTTATTTTATTGACTAAAACTAAATTAGTTTTCACATGTAAACAAAGATAGTTAACCATTCCCTGACCACCATCAAAAAAATGGGGTGGGAGGAGGAGTTAGTGGCTCTGAGTAGACGCAAGTTGAGGGAGTCTTCTTCCAGACAGAAAAAAACCATCCTCTGTTGTCTTAGAAATGGTGGCCAATAGGTTTCCTTCCTTCTGTTGTTTTCTCTTTGGACAGGAAAAATATGTAGAAAGAATGAGAAATGCCCTAAGCATTAAATTCAGTACCCTGAACAATCTTACTGGGGAGTTGAACCCATGCCTGGATAGCCAGAGAAAGAATTATATTATTTGGAGGGGAGCTTGGGGTGGTGGCCATCCAGATATGGGAACTCAGAGAAAGGATATTTCTGGCAATGGCAGCTTCATAATTTCTAAATAGTGATAATTTGATCAGAGAGTGAAGGTGGTGGTGGCTGGTAGGATAATAACATTGAGACTCGATATGTATGGCAAACAGGATCCTTTTTAACATATCACTGAGGATGGATGGAGAGGAAGAGAGTTATCTTTCTGAGAATCCCTGATATGATCTGGGAACAGTAGTCAGCAGAGTCATTACTTTTCTATTGCTGCTGTACCGAATTACCACAAACTTAGTGGCTTCCAAAATTGCGAATGTATTACCTTTTAGCTCTAGAGGTCAGAAGTCTGATGTGGGTCTCAGTGGACTGAAATCAAGGTGTCAGCAGGGCTGTGTTGCTTTCCCAGTGCTCTAGGGAGGAGTTAGTTTCTGTGCTGTTTTGTTTGTTTGTTTGTTTGTTGTTTGTTGTTTGTTTTTGAGACAGAGTCTTGCTCTGTTACCCAGGCTGGAGTGCAATGGCACCATTTCGGCTCACTGCAACCTCTGCCTCCCGGGTTCAATCGATTCTCCTGCCTCAGCCTCCCGAGTAGCTGGGATAACAGGAGCGCATCACTACATCCAGCTAATTTTTGTATTTTTAGTAGAGATGGGGTTTCACATGCTGGCCAAGCTGGTCACAAATTCCTGACGTTAGTTTTTACTCTGCCTGCATTCTTTGGCTTGTGCATGCCTTCCATGTTGAAAGCCATCAATGGTGAATTGAGTTCTCAAATCGTATTACTCCAATCTTCCCTCTGACTCACTCTTCCACTCCTTAGGACCCTTGTGATTTCATGGGTTCCTCACATATAACTCAGGAAAATCTGCCTATCTTAATGTCAGCTAATTAGCAACCTTTTTTTTTTTTTATAATGTAGCAAAATATATTAGTAGGGTCCATGAATTAAGATGTGGCCACCTTGGGGTGCTTTCATTCTGTCTGTCACAACAGCTGTGAAAAACATGGTGTCTGGAGCCATATTGTCTAGATTCAATCCCAATGCCACCACATACTAACTATGCAACTCTGGACTAATGACACAGTCTCTCCACGCCTCAGTTTCCTCAACTGTAAACCACAGTGAATAACGCCTATCTCAGAAGGTTCTTCTAAGGAATAATGTGTTAATATATGAAATGTGCTTACAACAGCACAAGTACTCAATTAAAATGAACAATTCTGATGTCCACCTACTTTATCAAGATAGAAGATAAAATTATTAAACATATGGCGAATGCCTACAAGCTTCAGACTTAGGAGAATTTGATTGCAGCTATCAACAATAGACACTTACAAGTGCTTCCTAACATGTCTACACTCCAAATTCCCAAAGTGAATGAATGGCTCAGGAGATCCCAGAATCAAATCAGGTGGACACTATTAGAAAGCACCCGATTTGATCCCGGGATCTCCCCAGCCATTCATTCACTCTGGGACTCCGGGAATCCTTGCATGGGGAGAGCTTCTCACATATAAGCATAATGTTTATCTGTAGCTCTGCCAGTTTTCTTAGTCCTGTTCCTTTGAAGTCTAGCATTAAGTAGGCCTAAGATGTCATGCAAGCCACTGTCCATGATACTGCTGGTCTCTCCAACTTGCATCTGCCTCCCTTTCTCACAGGTCACAGAAAAACCTATGCTTACCCTGAATTTTTCAGAACATAGTCACATAGCACAGCTGGTGGACTCTCTAGTAACAAAGCTATTTCCATTGTTCCACAATCATCTGCTTCACAAGAGACAACAGGCTCCTGAGAACTGGGGAGCTGAGACGCTGCAGGTGACAGTTGTATACAGACGTGCAAAGTTCTTGGGATCTCTTCCAGGTTCTAATTCAGGCCCGGATGCTAAGGCTTGCCCTGCTCTGCAAGGCTTTTACTCATGGTGCTTTTCTCTTAAAGGCTTTATTGTTTTGTTTTTTCATGATGGTCCTTATTACAGACATTTCCCTCTCTACTCTACATTCCCTTTCTATTCCCTCTGTATTCTTCCACAACTAATTACCACAACCTTAGAAGCTTAAAGAAACACAAATTTATTGTCTGACATTTTCTATAGGTCAGAAGTCCAGTGGTCACTGCCACGTCTTTATTTAGAATCTCACAAGCCTGATATAAAGGTGTCTGCGGGGCTGCCTTACTTTCTGAAACCTCTAGAGGAATGTCTCTGTTCTTGCTCATTCAGGCTGCTGGCTGAGCTTAGTTCCTTGTGCTGTGCAACTGAGATCCACATTTCCTTGATGTCAGCTAAGGACCATTCTTAGATTCTAGAAATTACCTGCATTCCTTGGCTTGTGTCTCCTTCCTCCATTTTCAAAGGCATCAATGGTGGCCGAGTCCTTCTTACATCAAACTTCTCTGACTCTTCTGTGTTCCTCTTCTGTTTTTGAGAATCCATGTGATTACATTGGGGCCTCCAGGATAATCTCCCCATATCGAGGTCCATAGCCTTTATCACATCTGCCAGGTCTTTTTTTGCCATGTAATATAACATAAAATAGTCACAGAATCTAGAGATTAAGGTGTAAGCATCATTGTAGAACATTAGTCAGTCAAGCACTGCCTCTTGTACTCCAGTCATCAGGGTCATTAGATCTACATATGTCTGAAATTTTTGCTTCTAATTTTCTCCCACAGACTCCGAGTTCTCAAAGAAAATCAAGGCATATGGCTGGGCATCTCTTTTAGCATCCTTGAACAGTCTGTAATGGCCCAAATGTACTTCAAGAATGCAGCAATTGAAAACAAGTCACCCGGAGCACACAGACTAGAGGTAGGTGGTGCTTCCTCACAGCCAAAATGTTGCCTCATCACTGACCAGCCAAAGGTGATCCATTTCATCCATATTAAGAGATACTGAAAATACTAGGAGAACTGATGAGAGATAAACTGACTTTCCTGGGAGAATTTAGTAAAAGTCCTCCAAGAGATTATGTTCAATTTGAAATTTGAAGTATGCAGGAAGTTTAATAGGAAGAACAGGAATGGATAGGAGAAATCATTTCAAGTAAATAGAAAAGCAAGAATATGCTTGTGAATAATGAGAAAAATAAATTTTGAATAAAATTATGGGTGTGTGTTTGTGTATCTATTGTATGTATGTGTGTTTGAATAAGGCATACTGATATTATGTATTGGTCAACCACAATATAGGAAAATAAATTGAAGGGCATCTCTTTAAATCTTACAGGTAGTCCATGCTTTCCACAGTACCAGCATTATGTTAAATGAATTCATTCATAGTGATCAATTCCTCACTTCGCATGAGTTACAGTTAATATGGTTCTGTGCAAAACAAGGACAGCCTGTATGTCTATTTTTAATCAAAGATCTGAATTGCTGACTACAGGGCATACTCATTAATTCAGACACCTCTGAAGATAGAAAAATTTGCTAGGACTAGATTTGAAGGGGATCTTTAAAAATTAGAGCAACAAGTAATCACAATGAAGATGATATTTCTTAACAAGATATCCTCATGGAAAATAGAGAAAAGAGAAGAAGATTGCTTCCTTAAATTAGGGACACAGACTAGTGAGGTAAAAGAAAAGCAGAAAAATAATCTGTGAGTTATACTTGACTACAAACTGATAGGAGAGCAAGAACATGTAGCGAGCACCCTACTATGTGCTAAGACTGTGTTAATCTAAGTACTTTTGTGGTTATCACATTTAATACTCACAAATGTTTGTAAGATATATTTTATTAGGTGAATGTCTTGATGCTGCTGAAGATCGAATACTATCTGAATTGAAATATTATCTCATTACTACTATTCCTCATGCCACACCAGGAATATTCTTGTCATACCTACTCTGATATTCTGGAAACAGGCAGAAACTGTTATATTTAGGAGATACTTCTCCTGCTACCTTAGGGATACTTCTCCTGCTGTCTTTAGATTATAAAACCATTTTGACTATGAACTACTTTTCAGTGGCAGGTTATAACAGGTCATGCCCTTCGGGCAATTTATAAGCTTGCTATGGCTACTGTAACAAAACACTACAGAGTGAATGGATAAACCAGCAGAAATTTATTTTCACACAGTTCTGGAGGCTAGACATCCAAAATCAAGATGTCAGTGGGGTAGGTTACTTCTGCAGACTATGAGGAATGATCTATTCTAGACCTTTCTCCTTGGCTTGAAGATGGCTAATCTTCACCCTTTGTCTTCACATTGTCTTCCTTCTTTACATGTCTGTATCCAAATTTCATCTCCTTATGAGGACAGCAGTGATATTGGCTTAGGGTCCACACTAATGACCTCATTTTAATTTAACTCTGTAAGTCCCATTAAACAAATATAGTTTCATTTGAGGTACTGGAACGTATTATAATCTTTCTTTTTGTGAGGGAGGATGACACAATTTAGCCCATAACACAGAAGAAAAACACAATCAAAATTCACATTAGGGATTTTAGCTCTAAGAAATTAAATATGTATATTAGAATACATAAAAACACCAATAAGAATACGAAGTCATTTGTGTAAATGAGTTTATTCATACATTTTCATACTGCTACAAAGAAAAACCCGAGACTGGGTAATTTATAAAAGAAAGAGGTTTAATTGACTCACTTTTCTGCATGGGTGGGGAGGCCTCAGGAAACTTACAAACATGGTGAAAAGGGAAGAGGCACATCTTTTTTTTTTTAATTATACTTTAAGCTCTGGAGTACATGTGCAGAACGTGCAGGTTTGCTACATAGGTATATATGTGCCACGGTGATTTGCTGCACCCATCAACTCATCATCTACATTAGATATTTCTCCTAATGCTATCCCTCCCCTAGACCCCCACCCCCTGACAGGCCCCAGTGTGTGATGTTCTCCTCCCTGTGTCCATGTGTTCTCATTGTTCACCTCCCACTTATGAGTGAGAACATGTGGTGTTTGGTTTTCTGTTCTTTTGTTAGTTTGCTGAGAATGATAGTTTCCAGCTTCTTCCATGTCCCTACAAAGGACATGAACTCATCCTTTTTTATGGCTGCATAGTATTCCATGGTGTATATGTGTCACATTTTCTTTATCCAGTCTACCATTGATGGGCATTTGGGTTGGTTCCAAGACTTTGCTATTGTGAACAGTGCTGCAATAAACATTATGTGTGCATGTGTCTTTATATTAGATGACAGCAGGTGAGAGAGAGAAGAAGAGGAGTGAAGGGAGAAGAGCCCCTTATAAAACCATCAGATCTTATGAGAACTCACTCACCATCTCAAGAACAGCATGGGGGAAGCCACCTCCATGATCCAATCACCTCCCATCAAGTCTCTCCCTAGATACATGGGGATTATGGAGATTACAATTCAGTATGAGATTTGGGTGGGGACACAGCCAAATCATATCAGTGAGCAATTAAGGAATTAACAGTGTCGAATCTTGGTTTGTTAACATTGATGAAGACAAATATATAGCCACCAATATCCACTCTATCTCTTCACCTGGTTTAAGGTTTTTTTGTTTGTTTGTTTGTTTGTTTTTGTTTTTGTTTTTTTCCTTTCATCATGGCAAGAGGTGCTTTAACTCTTCATTCTGTAATCCCATGAACAGCTATACAGATGTACCATACATTTTTTGGAGGGGTGGGGGATAACATTCTTCAATGTCACTAGGTTTTTGTAGGACCAACTCAAGCCGGCAGGTATAGTTAGAGAGACGGAAAGGTACAAGACCAACTATGGAAGAATCCAATGCCTCCAAGCATTACATGTTAGGATAAAGATCAGGATCACTGTTTGCATTCTCAGTAAGATAAACTTAGAGAAACTGCATGTTTTCCCTTTTCTCAATGATTTAACTTTTTCTTAGTTACGAGACAAACTTTAGAACAGCCAATAATCCATTAGAGTGAAGACATAATTGTCTTTTTAATAACAATGCCTCAAAGTGTGGGATATACGCCTGTCAACTCAGAGTTAGAATTGAATGTTTGACTTTCATTTTATTTATGTTGTAGAAAAAAAGATTGATTTTTTTTAAAAAAAGGAGGTTTTTCTGTTTTATTTCATTTTAGGCTGAAATTGGTTGTCAGAATACAGCATCACTGAAATATTATGTGCATTGAACAAATGGAGCTGGGTTGCATTCCACAGTATGCCACCAAAGTGAAAAGAAACAAAGTTTTTGTATAGAAAACTGGCATGTTAATAACGTCACACTCAGTGGCACATGCCTGTAGTCCAATATACTCAGGAGGCTGAGGCTTGGAAATCACTTGAGCCCAGAAGTTTGAAACTAGTCTGGGTAACATAGCAAGAATCCATCTCAAAAGAAATTGCACTGACTGGGGCTGAACCCTCAAGTCATTGAATCATGGAATTTTAAAGGAGAAGTCTGGCTTTTTCAGTTGTCTGGAGTGGATACTTAATTTAATTAAAGAGATGGAATGCATTTGATGAAAACAATTAAGCCACATTGGCATACTCTACATTGGCATCTAATATGATACGGCTATTTAATAAAAAGCTAGTATTCTGTTTGACAGATCAATTATTCATTAAATAGATGGGGCAGAAATGGACACGCAAAATCAAAGCTGATTAATTCAGCAAAATCTTCAATAATACTGTCACCTTTAATCCAAGCCAATGGCTTCCAGCACAGCAGGCAGCTTGATAGAGGGTAAAGTAATCACAATGCAATGTGTTAAGTGCAAGTTATAAGAAGCACTATGTAAAGAGTACTATGCAAAAACAGAGGAGTTGCACCCTGACTTGGGGATATCAGAAAAATCTTCCTTTTAATAGAAGTAATATCATTCTTAGTTTTAATAGATGTCAGGCAAAGAATGCATAAGTAGGCCGTTCAAAGGTATGTAGAGAGAAAAAGGCCCTGTTCATATTCTGAGACCCTGGTTTCATCAGTCTAATCTTGAGTACTGTTGGATCAGCAGCCACTCCACCAAGTTGGAACATGAGGGAGTAATTGATATTTCTCCCATAATCCAGTGTATTCATTATGGTATACTGTTGCAATCATGCTCCCAACATGAGCCAGCCTCCTACACCCATGCCCTTGGACAGCCTACTACCACATTCAATAGGGCTGATATGTGTTAACCAATAGGACATTGTAGAAATGGCACCATGTGTCATCAGAGGCTGGGTTATCAAAGAAATTTTAGCTTCTGCCTTGTTTGTTCTCTTGGTTCAGTCTCTGTGGGCCACCATGCATGAGGACATTCAAGCAGCCTTATGGAGCAGTTTACATGGAGAAAAACTAAGGCCTCCTGCCAACAGCCAGCACCAACTGGCCATATAAATGAACTACCTTGATCATGAATGCAGACTCTCTAAAGCCTTTACATGGATGCAACCTCATGAGAGACCCCTGTCCAGAAGAACACAATTAAGCTCCTGAATTCCTGACCCACAGAAGAGCTGTGAGATACTAAATGCCTATTGTTGTTTTAAGCCACTAAATTTTGAGGTAATTTATTATGTGGTAATAGATAACTAAGACATGAGTATACACTAACCCTAAAATAATCTCAAAATCCCTTCATGTTGTCCAGGTAGTACCATTAAATGTGACCTGCATGTTCTCATAAGTGTATGTGGTAAGAAATGTTCCATGCATTTATTTACATGTGTCTCTAGAAAAATATTCTACAGGGAAACAATTCTTCTATTCCTCAATGGATCCAGGTAGGGCCCACCAACACTTTCATTTATTCTGGTGGCCAGGCAAGTGCAATGGTCCATGCCTGTAAGCCCAGCACTTTGGGAGGTTGAACTGGGCAGATCACCTGAGGTCAGGGGTTCAAGCAGCCTGGCCAAATGGTGAAAATCTGTCTCTACTAAAAATACAAAAAAAAAAAAAATTAGCCAGGCGTGGTAGCATGCACCTGTAATCCAGCTATGCGGGAGACTGAGGCAAAAGCTTAAACTCAAGAGATGGAGGTTGCAGTGAGCCGAGATGGTGGGGCTGCACTCCAGCCTGGGTGAGAAAGCGAGACTCTATCTCAAAAAAAAAAAAAAAATTCTTCTGGTCAGAGAAAATCAATTCAGCCTTTAGCTGAGTAGAATGAGTACAAACTGAAAAGATTATTAGAGAGTGAATTTTATTCATGCAGACAACACGCTCTTGACATGAGGGATGCAGGTGTTTAGGCATATGCTATACAAACTTCCAGGGCATAAAACCAGGCCAGAAAGAATTTTCTGGTCAAACAAGCTCAACAGCTTAATAGCAGTTCCAAAGCTAGGAAAAATGAATGCACCCCTACCTTCACTAGACTATTTCCCTCCTCCCAGCTGGAAAGATAAAGGGAAAATAAACCCTTAAATATTGAGCTATATATATATAAGTATTTATATATATAATATATATAGCTTAAATTAAGCTATAATATAGCTTCTATTTAATGCATATTAAATCAAATATACATTATATATAAAATAAAATTACATTACATTAAAATTATATTAAATTAAAATTAAATATACATTATAGCTTAAATATACACATTTAAGCTATATATATAATTTAAGCTTATATAGATAAATTCATATATTTATGGCTTATATATGTATAATCTAAATCTAAATATATATCATCTAAATCTCTTACAGACACGCATTTTAAAACCCATCAAAAAAGCTGACAAGTCAGGAATCCGTTTTAGGACACCTATGGGCATATTCTGGGAAAGGAGTCTTAATCATTGAGAAGCAAACTCTGGAGCCATTTCATGGAGGGATCTTAAAGGCACACAACCATTGGTTTTACTGCACATGTGTCACCGTCTGAAGCCATCCTGCAACTCTCACGAGTCATCTGCTCTGAAGTAGAGCACACCTATTTCTGGAAAAAGAGGATCAGACTGTCTTTTTCTGAGTGTGGTTGGCATCTATGGGATAGGCTTTCCTGGTTAAAAACTAGTTAGTTAAAAACTAGGAAGATAAGAGTAGCACAATTGAAAGAAAGAATGAAAGAAGGAGGGAGAGAAAAGAGTGAAAGTAGAAAAATCAGGAAAATCTTTCAGTGATAGAATAAAAATAAATCAAAGGAAAAAAGAAAAAAATAATGATTAGAGTAAAAGAAACTAGAAATAACTTTAAAAACATACATCATATAGGGCCGGGCGCGGTGGCTCACGCCTGTAATCCTAGCACTTTGGGAGGCTGAGGCGGGCGGATCACGAGGTCAGAAGATCGAGACCATCCTGGCTAACACGGTGAAACCCCGTCTCTACTAAAAATACAAAAAAAAAAAAATTAGCTGGAATGGTGGTGGGCGCCTGTAGGCCCAGCTACTCAGGAGGCTGAGGCAGGAGAATGGCGTTTACCTGGGAGGTAGAGCTTGCAGTGAGCCGAGATCACGCCACTGCACTCCAGCCTGGGCTACAGGGCGAGACTCCGCCTCAAAAAAACAAAAAACAAAACAAAAAAAAACATATAAAAGTAACAAATATTCTAGATACCAAACAATGAAACAGACAAAACCTGAAAACAAAGAATTGAGGAGAAAAATAAAGTACATCTCTAAAATGGAAGCTATTCCTGCCCCATCCCTAAATCTGCTTCCATATTTTAGATGACTGCAGTTTTATTCTTTGAGAAGGCAAAAGTCTAGGAATCATTCTTTACTCCTCTTGTTCTCTCACACCCCACATCCAATTTTCCAGGAAATCTTGTTGATTCTATCTTGAGGCTCTTTCTATAATGCAACCATTCTGCAATCTCTCCAAGGCCACCACTTTGCTCTGAGCAATCCTTGTCTCTTGCCTGAATTGTGAAAATACCCTATGAATTTGTCCTCTGGTTTCTATCCATGCCCTTTATGGTCTATTCTGAACACAGAAACAAATGTGATTCTTTTAAAGGTAGGTCAGACCATGTCATGCCTCTGCTTTAGCCTCCAATAGCTCCCTATTTCTTTGAGCAAAAAAACATACAAGGCCCTACAAGCTCTGGCTCCCCAGTCACTGCCCTTGTCTCAGCTCCTTCTGCCCTTCCTCTTGCATCTTCATCATGCTCCAGCCTTAAAGCTTTGCACTTAGGGTCTCCCATTCCCTGAAGTGTTCTTCCTCTAATGTTTTTCCAAGACTGATACCATTATCTTCTTCAAATTTTGACTCAAATCTTACCTTTATCTCTCCACCTGTCTCACAATTGCACCCTTCAATCCTTCCCCTCCCACCCACCTCTTCTGTGCATGACTGATACTCTTTATTACCATCTAACACATCTCCAGACTGCTCTTCCCTCTTGAGAATGTCAGCACCACCGGTGCAGAAGTCTTTGTCTGAATTGTTTACCAATGTGTTGCAATTGTCTACAACAGGTCCTGAACACATCCCTGTGTCTCTATTAGTGTCCTGGGGCTGTCGTAACAAATTACCACAAACAGAGATTTACTTTCTCTTCATGTTAGAGGTTATATGTCTAAAATCAAGGTGTCAGCAGGACCAAACTTTCTCTGAAATCTGTGGGGAGACTCCTTCCTTGACTCTTTCTAGTCTCTGTGGTTTGCTGGCAATCCGAGATTTTTCTCGGCTTGTAGTTGTGTCATTCACATCTCTGGGCCTCCATAGTCACATAGTGTTCCTCTTGTGTGTCTCTGCGTTTCTTCTTCTCTTCTTGTAAGGACACGAGTCATACTGAATTAACAGCCCATCCTACTTCAGTATGGCCTCATCTTAATACGTGTTACATCTAATTAATGAATTAGCTAATTGATGACCTTATTTATAAATAAGATTACATCTTGAAGTGCTGTCAGGACTTCAACATATCTTTTTAGAGAACAAAATTCACCCCATAACAGTTCCCCAAAATATTTATTTAAATGAATCAATGAAGGTACTAAGTGATGTAAGTTCTTAAAAACATTCTTTGGCCAAGGGCGATGTGGGAAGTCCCTTACTATAGTTAGTACATCTGAGTGAATACACAAATTAGTAAGACAAATGTAGCTGCCTTGATAATGAGTTTATAAGTATTTTTACCAAAACTGTCATTTGATAACAAATTAAAAGGTTGTGTACTGTGCCTTCTTTCACCATGGTTTTACATTACAAAATAGAGTAATTTCTAAAATGTAAATATCAATAAATCATAAGAAAGTAAAATTCATTATTAAATAAAGTTTTACAAAACATACTGTCATCCTGTAGTCCCTCTGCTATGAGAATCACAGAGAAGTGGGTCATTGTTTCAGAAAAGAATATGGCAATAAAAGTGAATTTAAATATTATGTCAAAGAGGAAAAACACCTCTTTGTGTTTTTAATATGTCAATCATTGCTGCATTTTTTATTAGAGGACACGTTTTCCTTTAATTTCCCTAATGTGTTATAGCTTTATTCCTAAACCACATGCTACCATGATTCCTTTGTGTAATTTTAAGTAATAAATCATAAATGAATCATAAACAAATTATAGAATAATTATTCTGCTCCAGTGCTCACAATGATTTTCCTGCTTTTTACTTTAATGTCTCCTATTCCTCCTTAATCCAATATTTATATTTATGACAAGCACCAGTTTTCAATCAAGAGAAAAGCTTCTGTGAAGTTGGGATTAGAGAATGTTTTATTCCACCCTCTATTGTCTAAATAAACATGTTCAGAAATTAATCTCCTCCTTTTTATGGATCTGGGCTGTTTCAAACACCCCCAGGCAAGAAGAGGAGATCTCGCTTCTACTTCTGATCATTTGTTTTAAACTCTGTCTTTGAAATTAGCAAAATCCTACAGGGACTCAAAAAGGTTACTTGTTCTTTCAGGCCTCTGTGAGTTTGAATTACCTGACAGGTATTGAGAAAATTATTTATAAAACAAAAACTTTTACAGAAGCTAAAATATAAGTGACAGAAAGGACTTTAGAAGGGACATGTTGTCCAGAATTATCTAAATTGTAATAGGTTGTATACCACTGATGGTACATATGATGCTGAAGGTAGTAACATACTATTCAAAAACAGACTTTAATAGGAATATATTTGTTTTACATTGGCATCAGTTCAGTTTGCTGTGGTACTCTAAATACTCAGAGGTAATTTTTGATGCTCCTAGTCTGGGTAGGTAATTTAATCAAATTCAGTATAATGCTAGCAAAAAGAAAGAAACAGCTCTTCAAGCCTGTGATTTCATAGATACTACTGTCCGGAACAATACTCCCTTTAAAAAATAAGTCAATTGAGTTAAAGCCCATTTAAATAAATCAAGTATATAAAATTGATAATAAGGTATGTCAAAAAATATGAAGGTGGTAGCCAAAATAATGAAAATTTAGGAACCATTGATGTAGCAGATAAGCAAAATAGACAAAGTAATCAAGTGACTTTTCAGATTGAGAGCTACCTTTCTAGTTGGAGAGTGGATCATTCTTTCCTCTTGGTTTTTGCATTCTCTCTTTCTCCTTCTCTCTTTTTCTGGTCTCTCTCTCTCTCTCTCTCACTCTCTGTTTGTATTTATATATTTTCTTTTCTTTTTCTTTTTCTTTTTCTTTTTTTTTTTTTTTTTTTTGAGAGAGAGTCTCGCTCAGTCGCCCGGGCTGGAGTGCAGTGGCGTGATCTTGGCTCACTGCAAGCTCCGCCTCCCGGGTGCACGCCATTCTCCTGCCTCAGCCTCCCTAGTAGCTTGGACTACAGGTGCCCGCCACCACGCCCTGCTAATTTTTTTGTATTTTTAGTAGAGACGGGATTTCACCCTCTTAGCCAGGATGGTCTCGATCACCTGACCTCGTGATCCGCCCACCACAGCCTCCCAAAGTTCTGGGATAAGAGACATGAGCCACCGTGCCCGGCCATATTTATATATTTTCTATATTATCTCATATGTTCACTTGTTTGTTTCGTCTACCAAATAGTGAGTTACTTGATGATCCCAGGACCTCATTTCATTTATCTATGTGTAAATACCAACAATACCAACTATACACTGCTCACCCGATAAGTGAGACTCAATACATGTTTGTGGAGTGATTGGATAATTAACAGCA
Organism: Homo sapiens; assembly: GCF_000001405.40. NCBI lineage: Eukaryota > Metazoa > Chordata > Mammalia > Primates > Hominidae > Homo > Homo sapiens. The sequence goes on from NT_187540.1 coordinate 104,962, forward strand.
AAGATAGAAGTTAGTCCATTGGCCTCCGACTTCCCTCCTTAAGTCCTCGTTCAGAACTATTTTCACTGTACCATGCGTTCAACATTTAATGCTTAGATATTCATTTCCAAAGTCACAAATTAAAATAGAAAACTAATGCGCTCCACATTTTAAAAATCTTGAGAAATTGCTAATGATTATCAACTGAAATATTTGAATGTAGAAATAGCTTTTTAAAAAATTAGTGCTTGATTAAGCAAATATTAAACATGGTGGTACCACTGAGTTAAAGCAAGAGTAAGAAAGATGAATATTTATTATTTACATAAGTTTTGATCATATCCTTGTTGTTAGCTGTACTGCATACTTTAGAAGACATGCAATCAGACAGTCCAAATTCTAATTGCAGCTTTGCTCATTATTTCTGTCTGGATTTGTTCAAATCCTTAGAACCTTTGGAGACTGGAGGAAAAGTAACAACCCCAGGTAACCTGTTCCTGAAATAAGCCAAATAAGGCATAGATCCCAAGGTGAGGCTCCCTTTGTTGATTGTATTCACCAAATATATAAATTTACTAATAACTTTTTCATTCATCATCTATTCAGTAACTAAGCACCTGCTATGAACCAGGACTTTAGCTGGTATGACGGATACTAAAATGGGTAAGTCCTAGCCACTGTCTTCAAGTGTTTCATGGTCTAATGGAAGATGCAGAAGGCAAAAACTCAGATATTAAAAATCATAAGTGCTTTAGTAGATCACAATTGCAGCCAGAAGATGACACTTCAAATTAGAAGGGGTGTTACCTTGGGATTATGATTTCACTTCTGTAAGATTCCATCTTGTCTCCTGTAAAATGGGTATAGCAATAGTTACTTCATGAAATAAAGTGATGTAAAGACCATTGTACTCAATGTTTTGTGGAAGAAGTAAGGGTAGGTAATATACACCAGAAATTTTAGGCCCAAGGGGCAGCATGACTGAGCACATTAATAATTAATTCTGGAAATCCATGAATGGAGTCAGCAGTAGGAATTGGAAAGTGATTGTTTTAAAAAAGTGTTAAGGAGAGTGAAGATCAAAAGAGTAGAAACCATAAGTAAAGAAAGAATTGTGGCCAGGCGTGGTGGCTCATGCCTGTAATCCCAATACTTTGAAAGGCCAAGGTGGGCAGATCACTTGAGTCCAGAGTGTGAGACCAGCCTGGGCAATGTGGCAAAACCCTGTCTCTACAAAAAATACAAAAATTAGCTGGGCATGATGGCACATGTCTGTAGTCCCAGCTACTCAGGAGGCTGAGATGGAAGGATCTCTTGAGACTGGGAGGCAGAGGTTGCAGTGAGCCAAGATCACTCCTGTCTGGGTAATAGAGCAAGATGCCTGCCTCAAAATAAAAATACGATAAAATAAAATAAGTAAAAAAATACAGTAGGCATAGAAAAATATTATTAGAGTTTTACCCTCCTATCTAAAACTGTCCCCAAATCCTGTTAACTGAATAGAAAGAAAAATAGAAAATGAAAAAGAAAAAATAGCATTGATGAAAAATAGTTGCAAAGATTTCCCTGAACAATCAGCCCTAGCTAAGTTTCCAACTAAGCCCAAACTGTCTTATTACACATTCTACAACTCAGGAGGGGATATAAGAGAATCCCCTACTTTTCTTGCTCTAGTTTTTACAGCTGTTGCCCATGTACTTAGCCAAGGTCATGTGCTCAATCATCCAGTCCCGAGTTTTGCTTCTGATGCCCTGTCTTTCAGTACAGCCTTCTGACCTCTATCTCCAGTCTGCTCCAAACCTCCATGATGCTTCCCCAGCTCTGGGCCTGGTTGCTGATTGTTGTTTTCCTGAGATTCTGACTCCAGTGGTTTAACTAACAACCTTCCTACTTTTTCTTCTTATAGAGATATCTCAGGCTCCGTACAGAAACTCTTATTAAAACTCACAGCATTAAACCAGAACACAGACAAATGCCTACAATGGATGTGAAGTGAGCCAAGCAAAAAGCAATAAATAGGGAGTTTTGAGGATTGTTGCAAATAGTAGTAATGCTCCAACCAAAACTACTCAAATTTAATTTAAAAAGGCAAAACATCACTCTAGTCAAATAGTATATGTTCACAGGTCAAGAGGATTCAGTCTGCCACACCTAAATAAACACTTAATGCTATCTAGATCTCTCCAGTTGAAACTGCAGCTGCCTCAGACCCTGAAGTGTGCTGTTCACAGGAAAATGTGTCATAATTTTGCCATCTTATTACTTATTTTTTCCTGAGATAGGGTCTTGCTCTATCACCCAGGCTGGAGTGACGTGGTGTGAACATGCCTCACTGCAACCTCAACCTCCTAGGCTCAAGCGATGGATCGTCCTGCCTCAGCCTCCTAAGTAGTTGTGACCACAGGTATGCATAACCACATCTGATGAAATTTTTGTAGAGACAGGGTATCACCATGTTGCCCAGGCTGTTCTTGAACTCCTGGGCTCAAGTAATCCTCCCACCTTAGCCTCCCAAAGTGCTGGAATTAGAGGCACGAGCCACCATGTTCGGCCACTTCTTTTTTTTAATAGACAAAAAGGCAAAAGGAGGTTTTCACAATAGACAATGAGGCTTAAGCTTGTTTTCTGAGAATCCAACACATTTGGGCACGAAGGTCTGAAGCTGGTCTGCTAGAGGTACATTATATAAAAGAAATTGATATTTGATTCACCTATTGTTAATACTCAGGAACATTCTGAGGTTGGAGCCAGTGCCTTTATCTATTGAACAATCAGAAAGAAAAGAATGACCTAAGCCGGCATAAGCTCCCTATAAGAACAGTGAAAGACACATATCTAAGAAGAACCTAAAGGGATCCTCACCCTACTTCAGGGCTGCCATTGGCAACTGGCACCTCAAATACTGGGAGGCCAGGCAACTTTGCCTTTCAACTGTGAGTGCTGGAGAGCTCCTTGCTGTCACTGTCTTCATGCTGCGAAGTTATTGTATCCTTTGCTCATATTAAAGATGTATCTTTAGCCTGGAATCATTGGTACCTTTCTGTCAATCACTGTCACCAGGTAGCAACTACCAGGTAATTATTCACAGATGTACAAATGATGTATAATTAAAAACTGCTTGCTAAAGTCTTTTAATGACTTTACCCCCAAGATGTTCCTTATTTGATCTCTGGGACAAGAAAAAACGGGCCCTTCTGAGTATGTTAATTGAGGTCATAATTGGCTGATATGTATAATCAGTTTTTCCATGTGTTTTCTCAACCTTTTGCCTGCCTATCCTGCAATTCCACACCAATTAAAAAAGAAATTTATTAAATATATGTGTTCTTCTTTCATTGCAAAATCTCTTATTCCCCAGAGTATTTCAGAAAGGGCAAGACAACCTTGCTTTCCAGCTGTTTGCAAGCATTATGCCTTTGAGTCATTATGCAGAGCTTTTTACAAAATCAAGACATGTATTCATAATATCTGTTAATTTAACATGTTTATTTATATCACTGGAGCATGACTTCTGCATATAAAGAAAGACATATTTTAATAGTTAAAATTTAATTAAAACTATAAAACTACATAATTCTCCATATTTATAATTTTTAAATAATCAGCAAAATCCTGAATAAGAGGCATCAACTTAAAAAAATAGTTTGAAAATGATTTCTCTCAAGGAAGGAGGAAGGAGTGACCTGAATTTTACAAATAGAAACTTTCTAAGTAACACCTGAATTGTCAGGGCAGGTTATACTTCACAAAATCAAATCAATTTCTGTGACTTGTTTTTTATATTTCTTCTGCCATCACTCAGAACTTAATAACTGGGAAGATTTCAAATACAATAGGTGAAAATATCCAGTCATTTATATTTTTTGTATAAGTATTTAACATTCAATATGATGGAGCTTATGACATCACTTAAATGAGATTAAAGATGTCTGAGCTTAGCCAACTACAATACTAGCAGCAAATGTCCTTGTGTTCAGTGCAGTACTATGATTTCCAATTAGTTTTTTCCATCGGCTTAATTTGAAATCATAATATCATAAACATTCTGAATTTGACATTGTGTGTCTTCATTTTAATAGCAGGAAAACAGATTTGTAATTTTTGAGCACTTTATAGATGGTGAATTATATCACACACTGAGTCAAATCTTATTACTAAACAATTATGAATTTACCAGCTAGTGACTGGTATCATGCTACTTGCTAGAAAAATTACTAAACATAAGATATGCTTTATATGAAAGGAGATTACACCTATGAGGACAGGAAAATGCCGTATTCATCTTGGCATTCATGTTTTTATCCTACAAAGCTGAGCTCAATATTTTACCAACAGTAAGAACTCAACAAATATTGAATGGAATGGTTTCTCTAATAAAATTTCTCTCTCTCTGTCTCTCATTCACAGTTTTTTAGCTTATGTTGGTTCCCAAACTTTAGCTTTTAGTTTTGCATAAGCATTACCTGGGAGTTCTGCCACTTACTACTTTCTGCCATCTACTACTCTCAAAGTTCTTTTCAATTAGTTATAGAGAAGCTTAGGAAGCTACAGTTTTCAGACCACCAGAAATACCAGCTTAGTAGTTACCAATAGTTCTTTCTTGTTGGAGCATCTCAGAAAAGCATTACCTGGGAGTTCTGGCACTTACTACTTTCTGCCACCTACTACTCTCAAAGTTCTTTTCAATTAGTTACAGAGAAGCTTAGGAAGCTACAGTTTTCAGACCACCAGAAATACCAGCTTAGTAGTTACCAGTAGTTCTTTCTTGTTGGAGCAGCTAAGAACAAGTCAAAGTATTTATTGAGAAAGAGTGGAATTTGAATAATAACCTTCCTTTCTGCTCCATCCCAGTGAAAGCAGGGTGGGTGATGGTGATATATATACTGTATACATGCACAAGAATCTGTGCAGAAATAACATGTATCCAGCATCCCTCACTCCAGGCAGCAATTAGCCCTTTCTTCCCTTCCCTCCCCAAGAGGCAATGTACTACAATGAATAGCGCACAGGACTTCAGATCAGACAGACCGAAGAAACTTCAAATTCTGCCTCCATTACTTACCAACAGTGAATTTGGGCAAGTGACTTGAACTCCCAAGTCAGCTTTATAATATATATATAAGAAGAGTAATAACTAGCTCATAGGGCTTTTGTGGGAATAGAGAAGTTCATAGAGAATTTTCATAGCATATATTCCAGAATTGTAACTATTGTTTTTTCCATTTACAGACTCTAAGTTAAAGAAAGAAACTACAGTATTACCAGTCACATATATTTATACACTAAGTGAAAATGTCACCACAACTCAAAAAAATAAGTGGGTGTGGAATAGATGACCTTCGACCTTGATTCTTAACCTAGGATGGGATAATTATATGATTCATATTGATGTATTTATCCATATATAATTTGACATAGGATTGTCTAAATGTTGTCAGTTCAAAGTAGATCATCTGGCCTGACTAAAAAGTTATCATATTTCATATTTTAGTAGATATAAAATTTGACTCTAAAATGTCAGTGCCAAAATCTTAGAAATAATATTCATGTTTTTACTGGAGTCTCAGATAATAATAAATAGCTCTGTCAAATAAAAAAGGTAAAATATAAAATCTGAAAATGGGCAATATGTTTCAACAAGTGAAGAGAAACAATAAAGTCAAAGACTCTTTGACGCCGTAAATTGAATGCCAACTTTCTATTTCACTTAGCTTCTCCCCCACTTATTATGCTCTTACAGGTTTTGAAAGACTCTTAACAGGTAAATGCCCTCATAAATTCTTGAATATACTGAGATTAGAGTTCCCCTTCTGCTAGCTCCAAAGTTACCTAATTTTGTGACAAAGTAGCTGACAGAATGTGGCAATTAAGCTATGTTCATATTAGACATGGCTGCATCTATTTTTTTTAACCAAAATGATCTGAGGTTCCAAATTATGAAGCACAGCAAACCAACAGTGCTTTTCAGGGACAAACTGAATATTTAAATAATTTTTAAATAAATGATCATGACTTTGTTGGTCCTCCTTTGCTGAGCACTAAAATGATGATGATGATGATGATAAAATAATAATATACATTAAACAATCCCTGCAGTACTACTTAACTATTTTTTACCTCTATTTTTGAATCTATAAAATACAGATAACAATTGTATTTACCTCCATAGGGTATGCTGAATGTTAAATATGTTAATAAATCTGCTGATCTCAGCACATGGTAGGTTATATGAGAATGTCTATAATTACTATTTATATTACTATTTATAATTATCCCATTTGTAAAATTGAGGGCAGTGGGTATGTTGTTATCCTAATTGGGGAGTAGAGGAAGCTGAAGCTTGGTAAGGTCTGTAATTCTCTCAAGTCCACATGGGGGACATCAGTGGAAGTCGAATTTAAATCCCACTTCTCTCATTACAAATACTCTTTCCCTAACTCAGAGCCTTCTCACAGAAAACTGCAGAAAGCTGGTGAGCTACCCCATGTGCAGAATGCTCTATCAGTGACTTTGTCAGAGTAGCAGGGCCTGAACAAAAGCCAGGTCTGCCCTTCTTTTAAGTCACTCTATATAAGAGAGAAGTACTTTTGACATGCCTTTCAGTTAAGTGTACTTAAAGCAAAGCTCTCAAGCTTTCCAATGACTAAATGCTAGAGGAAATAATGGGAATAGTCAATACCTGTAACTGAAAAATTGCTGACTGTGTGACACAGCAAATCATTACACTGTTCAAATACCAATTTATAAAGCTGGAGTGATCATAGCTGTCTGGGCCAATTCATCTTAGTCTCTCTTGGTTTGGAATGAATATTTGGTTGGTTTAGACAGCAAAAGCCTTTGACCCACAAATGAGAGGCTAGGCTTGCCAGATCTAGTAAACAAAACTACAAGCTTCCTAGTTGAATTTTAATTTCAGATAAACAGCCAATACTTCTTTAGTATGTTACAAATGTTGCATGAGGCATATTTATACTAAAATATTGCTTGCTATTTATCTGATATTCAATGAAACGGAGTGTCCTGAATTTTACTTGGCAATCCTAGCAGGGGCTTACTTTGAAAAGTTCCTACCTAAGACTGAGCAGTTAAGGGAGGAAGTTGTTATAGAATGAATGTTTGTGTTCCTCCTAAAGTCATAGTTTGAAGCCCTAATCCTCAATGTGATGGTACGTGGAGATGAAGACTTTGGGAGGTAATTAGGGTTAGATGAGGCCACGAATGGTCAGGTTCTCATGATGGGATTAGTGCCCTTAAAAAACAGATACCAGAGAGCTTGTTTTTTTTGTTTTTTTTTCACCCCCTAAGTGTGCACAAAGAGGTCATGTGAGCACACAGCAAGATGGCAGCCACCTAGAAGGCAAGAGAAGAAGCTTCAGAATGAAACCTACCTTGCTGGCACATTGATCTTGGACTTCCCAGACTCTAGAACCAAAAATAAATTTCTGTTGTTTAAGCTACTCAGGCCATGGTGTTTTGTTATGGCAGCCCAAGCAGACTAAGATAGTAATACTAAGCACTTTGGGGCAGTGGCAACTACCCCATCTCACTCAAACCCTTCATCAATGGTGGTACCAAGCTGTGTAGACAACCCTTCTTTGCCTAAATTTCTTGAGTCCCCAAGATGTCCAATCCCTAAAGGAACTAGTATGTAAATAATGGGAGTCATATGGGTTCTTTTTTCCCATTGAACGACAGATCGTTTCTCCACATGATTGGCTGCACCTTTCCTATTTTGCTGTGCATTTCTAAAACTGAGTTCCATTTTTTTTTTCCCCAGGCTACACTCTTTCAGGTTCCAGTCACTGTTGTGCAACTGTCTGGCTTACAATCTATGTTTATTTTAAAATCCCACTAAGAATGGATTTAGATATATAAAGTCCCGGCCTAGTCACTTTTAGTCCTTTTTCCTATTGCCTCTTAAATGTTGTTTTATAACTGAATGCTGAAGTCAGATTTTCTTTTTTACTTCAGAAAACTTTTGCTATTGAACTGTTGAAAATCTTAGCCTAAATAACAAATTCTTTTGCAAAATTTGTGTGTAGATTCCAAAATCTCCACCTTGTTGAATAAACTTTTCCAATTACTTTGGCACACACATATGAATCTAGACCTTTTCAGATTTCTACACTGCATTCTACACTAGGCAGTTTAGCTCTTGGTTATAAACCATGGTTTAGTTTCATTATAAACTATGGTTTGGTTGAGCTCTTGGTTATAAATTATGTTTTAATTTTCCTTCTATTCCTACTCCATTTTTTCCCGATCTGTCTTTCCCATGCACACACCCATGCATGCTCACACACCCAAAAAACTGTTAATCCTCATTTATTTTTCATTCATCTTTAAACATAATCAGTGCAGTGCTAAATACATAACTGCTGCTTAACACATTAGCTGTTGATTATTTTCTGATATTTGCCTGAATTACACTCAATTATTTTTAACTTTTGAAATTATTTCTGTATTTTACCTTATTATTAACCTAAGAGGAAAAGAGGAAAAGATTTTATCTGGAAAAAAATAAGATGATTCTCAAGAAATTTTCCATGAAGAACTTGCCAAAACATAATATAAAAAGAATTGTGGTTTCTGAAATTTACTTAAGGCCTCCTGGATGTTGATCTTTTCACACTGAAGCTGATTTAATTTTGCCCCTGAGCTTGTAAGCACCAGATAATTTGCTTGCTTGGATTGTCACTGAGTCTAATAAGTGTCGGTCATTAATAAAACTTTTTCAGAACATGAGAATGATGTAGGAATGGTGCGGTTATATTATGAAAGTTGAGTGTAAATGATTCTTGGGAGGAAAAGATTTCCAAATTATGCAACGAATGGAATTTACTCAACTTTTAAAGATCCAAAGGGAGGTAATATGTATGCAGTAATGCTTGTTTAACAGACCTGGGCTGAGCTTTTCTACCCAAAATAGATATATTTTACATAATAATGCTATATATTGGTTTATTATAAGTTACATGAGCCTGGATTCCTCTGTAAGTATTGCTTACTTTACCTCATTTCAAATTCATTATAGAATTCATGGTTCTTTTGTGCTTTTTTAGAAAAAGATATTTCCCCAATGGATATTTTACTTCCTTTCAACCTGCTTCTTTACCTCCTCCAAAATTCTAAATTCTGACTATTAAACATGATTTAATGAGCTGAGAGTAGGTATGTTCCTTCACTGTGATTACCCAATACCCCATGCATACCTCAATCCTGCCGAGTTGCAATCTTCATTTTGCCTGACTATATCTCTTGTGCTAAACTACTGGCTCTTCAGAAGCAAGGCCGGCTGTTATCCTCAAGGTGTGTAAGTCCTAGCACATGCTGGTACTTGACATATGCTTGATATACAAATTAAAAATGAGCCGTGATGATCCCAGGCACTCAATACTAGTGGCAGTACAGTAAAGTGGCTGAGAGCAAGACGGTCTCTGCAGATCCTTGGCTTAAATTCCCATTGAAAACATTTCATTTCATTTAGAGAAATGTCACTTTGAAAAGTTCTGGCATTTTATGTCCTTTTTAATGCTAACCACAGTTATATTTATCTTTTTTACTATTATTCAATGTGATCCTATGTTGTCTGTACTTTTAACGGCACTAGAAAAAAAACAAGTATCTCCCTACCAATAATAATGAGTCACACAAGTGAAACATATTTAGGTAAATAGAAATTTTGCTATATTTAACCAATCACTATTGAACTTAATACCATAATAAATTATACCCATTTACATTTGATTAGCACTTGCAAGTTTATACACCTTTCCCATAAATTATCTTATTTAAAATGGCACATTAGCTTTTTAATTATATAAGAATTTCACAAATATGTGGTTTTGTGGAAAATCTGAAGTACAAAAGTATATACATTTAAAGGTAGAGTTCTCATTAACCTGAGATAATAAAATTGCATTTTCTCCACACCCCTCCAAGGTGTTGGGTGGGTCACAGGTCAGAAAACTTAGCAAGCCACGAGAGGTAGGCTGACAGATGGTTGGGACTTAGCAGGAGGGTTTGCAAAGCAGTGCAAAGCAATGCAAAAGAAAAGGTTTGCAAAGCAGTGCAAAAGAAAAGCTTGGGCCTGAAATAGAAAATCTATTTTAAAAGAAGACATATTGTGTCAATAGTTATCACAATGATACTTGAGAGTTTAAGCACCCCAAAAGAATAATAAATCAATGATCAGCTTCATCAGATGTAACTGATTGTATTGCATCACTGAAGCTAATGTACAAGAAAATTATCTGGGGGAATTAGCTTGCCTAGTTTCATGGCTCCTTAAGGAAGCAATAATACTAACTACTCTCAAAGCAACAAGAAGGCTGTCAGCTGTAGGCGCTTTCATGTGAAATGCCCCTATTTGATGCCCTGTTAGAGTCCAATTCACTGCTAGTGTTCTTAGACTAAATAAAGAACAGTAGCTGAAGGATTTGCTATCATATCATAATGTGTGAAAAATGCTACAGTGTCCCTTTATGAGATATTAAAACTGTATGTAAATAGAAATAAAACTGCATGATGTCACCATCACGAAGCTAAGTTTTAAAAAATGTTCTTCAAATTCAGAAACAACCTGATACCTATAGGGAATTTAGATTCTTTTTGACTAGAAACATCAAGAGAACAACATACCTGTTTAGTTCGGCACAGTGTACGCTCTATTCTTGGGCGATTTCTACATGAAAATTAGTAATGTCTTGATGTCAGAAAACCATATTTCCTTTTCTTTTTCTTTCTTTTTTTTTTTTTTTTTTTGAGACAGGGTCTTGCTCTGTCATCCAGGCTGGAGTGCAGTGGTGCAATCATGGCTCACTGTAGGCTTAACCTCCTGGTCTCAAATGATCCTCCCACCTAATCCTCTCTACTAGCTGAGACCATAGGCATGGACCACCACAGCTGGCTAATTTTTTTTTTTTTTTTTTTGACTTTTTGTAGAGACGAGGTCTAGCTATGTTTCCCAGGCTGTTCTCAAACTCCTGGGCTCAAGTGATCCTTCCACCTTGGCCTCCCAAAATACTGGGATTACAGGTGTGAGCCACCATACCCGGCCAACATATTTACTTTAAAAAAGCCTTCAGCGCGGTGGCTCATGCCTGTAATCCCAGCACTTTGGGAGGCCAAGGTGGGTGGATCACGAGGTCAAGAGATTGAGACCATCCTGCCCAACATGGTAAAACCCCATCTCTACTAAAAATACAAAAATTAGCTGGGCCTGGTGGCACATGCCTGTCATCCTAGCTACTGTGGAGGCAGAAGAATCGCTTGGACCTGGAAGGTGGAGGTTGCAGTGAGCTGAGATCCTGCCACTGAACTCCAGCCTGGCAACAGAGGGAGATTCCATCAAAAAAAAAAAAAAGAAAAATCCTTCAGAATCCCATTTTCTTCTCTATCATCACCATACTCATGTTCATATTATCTAAGTCTTCATAAATTATATTGATTACTTACTCTGCTTTTTTCTCTTTCCCCGGACCCTGCTGGTTTAGTTTCCAGCATCAAGTGTTAGGCTTATTGCCATCAATTCCTTAGTGCTTTTCTCAAACCTCTCTTCGCTGCAGATACGATGATTGAAAACAAACACACTAACAGATATGGCCATGAAACTTTCCTGTTTAAAATCCTTCAATGATGCCCTCTTCATCCAATGAACAGTTGTTTCCTTAATAGCCTCTAGACGCCCGCAAGAAAGAGCCCAAACTCCTTTGCATAGCATGAAAGATGTTTCTGTTTTTTGCCTAATGTATTGAGTAACATGTTTTGCTACTCTCCTCACACCTACTTTTCAGAAATAACAAATCCCATGTTGTGTCTTGAACACCATATGGTACTTCCCATTCCCATTTACTTTCACACGCCCCTTGCACCTTCCGAAATGTCATCGCTCTCTAGTTCACCTGGCTACTTTCTACATAGTGTTATTCTGTGACGCTTCCTCACTATATTCGGTAAGGAAAATGTACTACCTCTGTATCTTATTATTGCTTCTCTTGTTGCTCACAAGTTATATATGAATTTGTTACATGTTTATTTCTCCTATCAACACATGAGATTCTTGAAGGCATGAACTTTGTCATATTTATCTTCCTATCTCCAAAACCTACTATAAAACATGCTTCATAATAAACACTCAATGAGTATATGTGGTTTGAATGAATGTACTTAAGAGAAAAAAAGATAGTAATATAAGCCATGCTTTTATTTTAATTAATGACATTTTCTAGTTTTCCATTTATTCAAATAGTAAAATTTTACTAAAAATGGTAGTTATGTAAACATTAGCTAAAGATGACCTATTGGACAGGCAATTTGCAAATAAATTATTTTCTTCTTAGATATGAGGTAAATCAATAGTAACTTAGCAATGAAGATATAAACTTAGACATTATACCTATATTCCAGTTGGAAAGGTGGATGGAGTTAATGCTATAAACACTTCAAAAAATGTATTTCTATCCTCCTAATATGGACATCTCTAATAGTTTCTGCAACTCCACGGTATAAAAACCCTCTGCTATGTCCTCTCAAAACACCTCCTCAATCTGGGTCAGGCCTGCCTTTCCTCAATTCAATTCTATCTTTATGTGCCCATATTCTGGACCAATTGTGCTCAATGGCATCTATGCTTTATTTAGAATAAGACCCTCCAAAGTTTCTAACTCTTGAGTCTTTAGTCTACCAATCTGTTCATCTTAAGTGAAAATTGATTTTCCTCTGACTCCATTTTCCTTGAGGGTTATGAAATAAAATGAGATTTGGTGTTCCATCATTTATACATTACCCACCATCTATTCATTCAACAAATATTTGGGTGCCACATTCAAGCCACTATTCCATCACCCTTGCTCTAACTTCCCATCCATTAAGAATTATGCCATCTTTTATCAGGCTTTCTACATCTTTGTGCTATCACAAGGAAACTCCCTCAGCTTTTAATTATTTGAGGACATGTACAATTTTACCTTTTTTTCCTTTTTTATATCCCTGGTTGCTTATGTCAACTTTCACAGTGATGATCTTCTAACATAATAGATTCCATGCTTTTTGATGTTCAGCATTATTGTTACACTTTAGTTTTCTACCACCCTACACTTTCGACTTCAAAAATAGTCTTTTGTCAGAGACAGAGTTTCGCTCTTGTTGCCCAGGCTGGAGTGCAATGGTGTGATCTCAGCTCACTGCAACCTCTGCCTCCCGGGTTCAAGGGATCCTCCTTCCTCAGCCTCCTGAGTACCTGAGATTACAGGTGCGAGCCACCATGCCTGGCTAATTTTTGTATTTTTCACTTGTTTTTTTTGTTTTGGGGGTTTCACCATGTTGCCCAGGCTGTTCTCGAACTCCTGACCCCAAGTGATCCACCCGGCTTGGCCTCACAAATTGCTGGGATTACAGGCATGGGCCATTGTGGCTGGCCAACTTCCATCTTTATAATAACCTCCTCTTTGCCTTTCATGCAATTGCTCTTATTGAAAGTAAATAGAATCCTTTCAATAAATATCTGTCCCAGGGTTTATAATGAGTCACACTTCAGTGCAAGACATACAAAGTAGAACCATGTAGGAACTCTATTCCAATGGAAGTAATAGGAGCTACAAACTTATGAGGGAAGCAGATAAGAAAATTCACCATTACATTAGACTCATATAGGTGCCACAAGAAGGGTATCTGGAGCAGGAGATGGAGGTCCAGCGTAAAGTAATGTCAGCTAAATATTTTGGGAACACTCTTCAAGAATTTCCAACTCAAATGCTTCCATGAAAGCATTAAAAACTATTCCATCCCTCTGGATGCCCCAAAAGAGTTTGCATAATTGTACATAACACAAAAATAATCTTATACTGAGGTTATATTTATGACAAGTTTTGTATCTATTTCTAAACGGTACGTTCTTCCAGCAGACTGATTTAACACTCTTCGGGTCACAGACGTTTTAAAAAATCTTTTTCATAATTATTTGGCAAATTTATACCTATCTACTCTTTAGGGACTTTTGTACAAGCTCCCTCACAAAAATCTTCTAAAGTTATAAGTTTATTGCACCCATTTACATAGAAGGAAACTAAAAATTAACAGCTATGTAAGGCATCTATGTTTACCTAGCTAGTAGACAGCAAACCTACATTAAAAGTGAGGTATAGTGGAGACTGCTAGGTAATCCCCCCAATTTTTTTTTGTTTCTTTTTGGACATATAGTTGAGCTGTATTTCCCAGTCTTCAATTCCATTGGATTTGGCCATAAAACCCAGTTCTAGTTGATGGGATGTTAGTGAATATAATGAAAGAGATTTCTGGGCCAAGCTAATAAAAATGCCACACTTTTGCTCCTTGGTACTCCTTTCCTTTTTCTAGAGTACTGGGAGGTTAGTATCTTCTAAGGCAAATGTGAAAGTCATGCATTGAAGATAGCCAACCTGAACATCCACTTAGACAATTAAATGAGAGAGAAATAAATCTTTGTGTGGAAAGTTAACAACAAGGCAGGCTCTATTTAATACTACAGGTTATCCTACCTTATTGAATGCAGTAGACCAGCATTTATCAAACATTTTAGTCTTAGGACCTATTGACACTTTCAAAAATTATCAAAGATTTCTAAGAACTTTTGTTAATATGGGTTTTATCTTGATATTTACCTTATTAGAATTTAAACTGAGAAATTATTAACATATTTATTCATTTTAAGATATAAAGTTAGTACATGTTAACATAAATATTGTTTTTGAAAAAAATGTAAATTTTCCAAAATAAAAAAAATTGTGAAGATTGGCATTGCTTTACATTTTTGCAAATACCTTTAATATTTCGGTTATTAGAAAATACTTACATTCTCATATCTGCTTCTGGATTTAGTCTGCTATGATAGTCATCGTAGAGCTTCTAGAAAAGTTTACTGTACATTTATTAGCAAAAGAAGATGAAAAGAGAAATATCATCTCAGTGTTACTACAAAAATAGATTCATTTCTTGAACCAGCTAAAAGAATCTCAGAGGTCCACACCTCATTAATGATCACATTTTAAGAATTACTGCACTAGACCTTTGACAACAGAAGTTACTATGTTATCCACTATGTAGTATTTAAAATTCTTAGGAAAGCTACGGGTTCTTTCCTCAAAAAAAAAAAAAAAAAAAAAAAACACATACATACATACTTTTATGCCTAATTTAAGTGGTTTCCTAAAACCCCTGAATCTCATTCAATGGAAGTCAAAAACTTTCTCTAGAGTAGATGGCATGGCTTTTTTTAACTTTCATGTATCTTCTACTATACTGAGAAATGTACACTTTATACTTTATATAATGTCAATAAACATACGCTAGAAACAGAAAACATTAGAACTGGGAGGATCTTCAGAGATCATACTGTGAAATTTTCTCCTTTTCACATTTAGACTGTGCAAACCTAGGGAAGGAAAGTGACTACCTCAAGGCCACAGTGAACATGATAAAGAAAGGATGCAGAAATAAAAACACAATTTGCAAAGTTATGACACATCACTCATTCATATTTAAAATCTTTAAGTGATATAAAGTTATACATTCAAAGAGACAAAAATATTTTTAGGATTTTGGAATTTAAGGAGACATATAAGCCATCTATTTAAATCATCTCATTTGTAAGAAAAACCTACAGGATCTCAGAAGGATTAAACTGCTTTGCTAAATTTACAAAATGGTAAAGACCTGGTTTGCCAACTCTGAACAGAATATTATAACCAATATATCACATTTCCCTTTAAAGAACTCACATTTTATAGTCAATTAATAATCTCCATTTTGAAGCAAATTTATAAGAATAGCAACTGATGCACTGTATTTAAAAATATAAACAAAATCTTCAGAATACACCTTAATAATCCAGATTACAAAATTGTATTCACTTTATTTTGCTTCTCCAGATTTAAAAATGAAGAGAGCAAAGGCTGGGAAAGTTAGTCATCTAAAATTCTATCTTCTTTTGTCAAAACAATATAACACAAATATAAAGTTATTTTAAAATAAATTGTTCTGGCAAATTGGTACCCTGACCCAACGAGGAGGTTATGAAATCCAGTACCCCTCCATACTTCATTGAAACTTACTCAAATTACTGCAGTAGATTTTCCACTCTTGGAAAATGAGCAAATAAATGGCAGCATCCTTTCTAATGTCAATTCTCGACATTCTGATTAAAGTTCTGTTTTAAGTGCCCAGATACATTAAATCAACCCATTGTTTTCCATCCTTACAGATAGCCCAGAGTTCTAGAGAAGGATGGCGACTACAAAGAAATCAATCATCAGGATGTGCTTCTTTTAACACATAATGCTGTTGGTTAATTGGGTTTTTTGAAAGAATCTGGAAAGATCCATCAAAAAGTGGGCGAAGGACATGAACAGACACTTCTCAAAAGAAGACATTTATGCAGCCAAAAAACACATGAAAAAATGCTCATCATCACTGGCCATCAGAGAAATGCAAATCAAAACCACAATGAGATACCACCTCACACCAGTTAGAATGGCAATCATTAAAAAGTCAGGAAACAACAGGTGCTGGAGAGGATGTGGAGAAATAGGAACACTTTTACACTGTTCGTGGGACTGTAAACTAGTTCAACCATTGTGGAAGTCAGTGTGGCGATTCCTCAGGGATCTAGAACTGGAAATACCATTTGATGCAGCCATCCCATTACTGGGTATATACCCAAAGGACTATAAATCATGCTGCTATAAAGACACATGCACACGTATGTTTATTGCGGCATTATTCACAATAGCAAAGACTTGGAACCAACCCAAATGTCCAACAATGATAGACTGGATTAAGAAAATGTGGCACACATACACCATGGAATACTATGCAGCCATAAAAAATGATGAGTTCATGTCCTTTGTAGGGACATGGATGAAATTGGAAATCATCATTGTCAGTAAACTATCACAAGAACAAAAAACCAAACACCACATATTCTCACTCATAGGTGGGAATTGAACAATGAGATCACATGGACACAGGAAGGGGAATATCACACTCTGGGGACTGTTGTGGGGTGGGGGGAGGGGGGAGGGATAGCATTAGGTGATATACCTAACGCTAGATGACGAGTTAGTGGGTGCAGCGCACCAGCATGGGCACATGTATACATATGTAACTAACCTGCACAATGTGCACATGTACCCTAGAACTTAAAGTATAATAAAAAAAAAGGAAAAAAAAAAAAGAAAGAATCTGATATAAATTTGGACTTGCATTCAAAGTCCCTGACAGAACTACTGCCAAGAAACGGAAAAGTAATGTTTTCCTAAAACTATTACTTGAAAATCTTGAAAGAAATGACTTATGCATAAGTATTTAATAGTTTTCCTATGTGAAGAGCTGCCAAGACCCAGGCAGCACTAAAAAATGGAACCTTTCTATTGTACATTGTACTTAAACACCTGGTGTGGAGGCCACATTTTTTCCTGCTGTGTGGCAGACAATGAAGTGTAATACTGACATTCTCTCTGAAACTCTCCAAGATCTACTAAATAATTCCCTGTGTAGAGGTAGAAAGTTCACCTAAGAAACTCCCAAAAGGCACATAACCTCAGTCAAGTATTAGATCTTACTTTTTCTAACAGAAGCTAGAGAGCAAAGAGAAAACAACTGATTTCTTCACAATGGCAAATAAGAAATAATATAACAGAAACCATTCTACATGAGTCCAAAGCAGAAGCTACAACAAATTACTTAACACAAAGCAATAGCAACTGGGCAATTCGACAGAATTGTGAATCCACGCCATGAATTCATGGCATCATTTTACTAAAAAACACAACAGTGGATGGCAGTCTTTAGGATATATCTTGATGGACACTAGGAAACATTTAATAATAGTTGTTGCCTGTTGTTTTGCTATTTTTTGTTACTCAAGCAGCAGCGAAGAGGGGAGTAAACTTGTGTTTACAGCTGGCTCTCTGTATTCACAGGAAATTGGTTCCGGGACCTCCTTGGGATACCAAAATCCTGGGATGCTTGAGACCTGTAGGCGCTGTGGAACCCTTGAATATGGAGGGTGGACTGTACTGATCAGCTCCTAAATGTCAAACACTTGGCACTTTATATCCGTTTTAATTCTCAAAATAGTTCTCCAGGTCGGGTATCATTATTTTAATTTTAAAGACGAGGAACCAAGTTTAAGAGAGTAAATACTTTAGGTAAATACTTTAGTAAATACTTCAGGTAATGCCACCAGCTAGTAATTGCTAGAACTAGGATTCAAGCAGCATAAATAGCTACTCACATGGGTTTATGACATGACGAGCACTGTGCTAAGCAACTTACCTGGATTGGCTCATTAAATCTTCCTCATAACTCTTCAAAAGAGGTCCTAATATTTTACTCACTTAAAAGATGAGAAAACAGGCCAGGCGCGGTGGCTTATGTAAGCATGTAATCCCAGCACTTTGGGAGACTGAGGCGGGTGGATGGCTTGCGGATAGGCATTCAAGACCAGACTGGTGAACATGGTAAAACCCTGTCTCTACTAATAATACAAAAATTAGCTGGGCATGGTGGCGCACACCTGTAATCCCAGCTACTCTGGAGGCTGAAGCAGGAGAATCGCTTGAACCCCAGAGATGGAGGTTGCAGTGAGCCAAGATCCTGCCATTGCACTCCAGCCTGGGTGACAAGAACAAAAGTCCGTCTCAAAAAAAAAAAAAAAAAAAAAGATGAGAAAACAAAATTTTGGAGTTGTTAAGGAGCTTGCCTAATCACACAAATCATAAGTGGCTGAACGGCAGTTCAAACTGAGAGTGTTTGACACCAGAACTCCAAGCTTTTTACTTATCATTCCATAATGTCTCCCAATTTTAATGTCCATGCTCTTTCCTCTACAGGAATGGGGCAGGGGGGAGAAAAACAGTAAAATTCACACTTTTCATTTTCTTCCTTCCTCTCATCCAATTCCTAAAAGAGTAAGACAATATAACACATCAGTACTTTTGGAGGTTCAAAAGATGCTAATGATAATTTATCTGAAGGTTTACTTCAATTGCTGAAGGAAATGTTTTCTAGAAGAAAAAGAGAGCTCAGCAGAGTACACAACTATATCCATATTGATGGATACCTGTGCAATAAATTTTCCAATCAGGGGCAAATCAAGGCCAATCATGATTCATCAGCAGCCTAAGAGACAGCATGGAGTCAGACAATTTAAAGGTACTCCACATGTCTTCTGAATTCTGGTCTGTTTCAGATGGCACTCAATGCACAGTCTAGGTTCAAAGATTTTTTTTCTCTGGCTGCACTTGGTGCAAGCTGTCAGGTCTATTTTTGGGGGTATCCTTTAGAAACACAACATAAAACTGTATAACCATGAAAAAGAAAATTCAGGAAAAAGCTGCCATTTCAAATATTTTTATGTTTTTTATCATAGTGGTGGGAGCTCTACCTTTACAAGGCAAACTGCAGCATGATCCTGGCAACCTCCCGTGTAAATGCAAGCAAATTACTAGACAACTGACATTTCTTGGGCAGCAAAGATTTCAATTTCTACACCCTGGTTTTTGGAAATTCTGTTCTGGCTAGTTGTATTTGAGGTTTTGACAGCCAAATAAATCTGCTGCAAAGAATGTTGCACATTTCATTAAAAATGCTCCATCTAGACACACATATTCTGTCTGCTATAGACCTGAATGCATGATTGTGTGAACATGTGAGACACAGAATTTCAGTCTTGAAAGATGGCTCCTCAGTGAAACTCCTTTTTTGTACAAAGAAAATTAGTTACTTGTGATAATGTTGCAAAACTAGAGCTAATAAGGTATCCAGGTGTGTTCTGATAGCAACAACAACAAAACCCTACATTCATTATATGTACTGGTTAACTGTGAGTAAAGAGTTATCTTTAAAGGAATAATTATATGAGACTTTGTCAAGGCATAAGTATAAATTATGCTGCTGATTAATTGGGTTTTAAAAGAATGTGAATAAATTTAGATGTGAATTTTAAGTTCTTGACAGAACTATTGCCCAGAAATGAGAATGTAAGAAGATTTTGGATATTTTTTTCAGGACATGAAATGATTGTTTGAATTCTTTCATCAACTGTATTTGCTTCTATTTTCTTATGCTGCCAATCAAATGAAGGCAGCAGGAAATGCAATCTATTAGACTTAATCACATAAAGTTTAAATCATATTTAACTATTCAGTTGAAGAAAAATACCAGCTAAACTAATTACAGAACTGAAAAATGGCAATGATAAAATTAAGACCCAACAAAAAGACACGAAATACCTAAGAAATTGAGAATCAACAAATCTATACAATTGTCAGTGAAGACAGTCAATCTTTGTCATTAAATAATTTTAAAGAGAATTATTTAATTATTTCTCCATCAAATGTCTTTTATATTGTATCACAATTAAAATTCTGGAGGTCTCCTTCATTAACTAGACGAAATTAAAATGATGAAAGGTCAATCTGACAAGAATATTGATAAATTGCACATAATGTTTCTTCTTGTTTCAAAAAGCAATATAAACAACTTCTAGGACATTTAATTTAAAAACTGAGAATTGAAAACTTTTAAAAATATTGTATATTCCATTATAGATAGATAGAAAAATAACTGTCTCATTCTTTTAGCTTATGGGTTCTTTGAGGATTAAAAAGAGTATCTTATTCTAATTTAGGAATTTTGCTAGTTGCTGAGTATGTCTATTCTAATTATATATTCTGGAACTGGGTAAAAAACTACAGGATAGATTTGGGGACCCACTGGACCCATTAATCATATGACTTCCATCAGCCCTACTCTGACTAGTCAACCACAGTGACATGCTTGTATCTTCTGGAATTAATAGCAGTTTAGAGTCAATGTCTAATAGTCCCCAAAGGTTCTGATTATTTCCTTTTCCCTAAAACACAGTCACCCAGTAAAAGGCCATGATTTGGGGTTAGAATTTTGTTCACTTGATCTAGAACTCTTTGACTTACACAGATCAAGTAAGAATTAGTAGCATTCCCATCCATTTAACTTCTAGGAACTCTATCATCAACTAGCCAATGCCATAGGACTGCCCATATTCAACTATTCTGATTGCCGCTTTGACTCTGCTTTCCATCATGGTAACAACACCCATCTTATCTTGGGCGACTGAGGGCTGCCACTTGGCCAGCCCCTGCCACCCCAGGATTCAATTACTCCCATTACATTTAAGTTTCCTTATTCAGTGGTAGCAGTTCCCACTGTATTTTCCGGCAGACAAAAGCAATCACAAAGCTCTTCAAGGATGCAGGGGTGCCCCTCATAAACTTGTTTTTTACACTTAGGATGAAAAGTGTGCCCTCTGGGTCATCCCAGTGTAAGTGAGCAGATCTTAAATGACACATTCAATCTAACATTCCAGTCTCCCTAAACCTTGGAATCTCTTATTCTGCAGTACAGGAAAGCAGTTCTAGCATTTCAAGTTAAATTACTGTGGGCCAGCTTCTGATCCATGTTCCAGCCAACCAACCAACCAACCAACCAACCAAACTGATACAGCCCTTTCTCAATCCCTGAGCTACAGCATTAAATTCAGAATCTCTGCTTAATGAGTTTCTTTGGATTTGGGAGGCAATACATTTCTTATTCTGGTTTGCTACCCCAGCCTAGTAACAGAATGACCCAAAAAGCTGCTAACAAGAGAAGGCTCTGCAACAGGTCTAGGCTGCCATATAGGTGCCCTGCCACTGGGGTCATATGATCCAGCAGATTCAATGGTGTTTAAATTGTTGGTGACAGATAGGGATTCTACTTAAAATCTTTGACAGGACCATACAGGACAACCATAGTGCATACTCAGAATTTCAGACCAAAGCCCTGCCACTCTCTGCAGATAACTACTTTCCTTTTGAGAAACTGCTTTTGGTCTACTACTGAGCTAAAAGCCTAACCATGGCACACCAAGTTCTTCTGCAAACTGAGCTGCTCCTCATGAACTGGCCGTTACCTGTCCTACCACCAAGGCATAAAGTTGGCTGTACACAACAGCATTCCTTCATCAAACCAAGAAGTGGTATATATGTGATCAGGCCCAAGAGGGCCCTAAATGCACAAGTTACATGAAGATGTGTCCCAAATGCCCATGGTCCCCACTATGCTATATTACTACATCTCTTACAACCTGCACCTATGGCCTCATGTGGAGTACTCCACTGTCAGTTGACAAACTTGGGTCTGGTTTACAGATGGTTGTGCATAATATACAGGCACATACAATAGACAGCCACAGCACTACAGTCCTTTTCTAGCACATACCTGAAGGATAATGGTGAAGGAAAATCCTCTCAGGCAGCAGAACCCCGAGTAGTGCATCTAGTTGTTCACTTTGTTTGGAAGGAGAAATGCAAATATATACCAATTTATGGGCTGTGGCCAATGATGGTTTCTCTGGATGGTCAAGGACTTGGAAGAAATCTGATTGGAAAATTGGTTCAAGGAAGTTTGGGGATGAGGTATGTGGATAGACATCTCTGAATGGGTGAAAATCATGAAGATATTTGTGTGCCATGTGAATGCTAACCAAAGAGAGATGTCAGGAGAGGAGGGACTTTAATAATCACATAGATAGGATGGCATGTTCTGTGGATACCAGTCAGCCTCATTTTTGCAGCCACTCTTATTGCCCAATGTATTCATAAGCAAAGTGGACATTGTAGCAGGGACGTAGGTTATGCATTGGCTCAGAAACACGAACTTCCCTCTCCAAGGCTGACCTACTTATAGCCACTGCTGAGTGCCCAATGTGCCAGCAGCAAAGACCAACACTGAGTTCTCAATATGGCACCATTCCTCAGGGTGATCAGCCAGCTACCTGGTGGCAGGTTGATTACATTGGACTGCTTCCATCATGGAAGGGGGGTAGTGCTATGTTCTTACTAGAATAGTTACTTACTCTGGATATTGATTTGCCTTTTCTGCACACGATGTTTCTGCCAACACTACCTACTATCTATAAACTTACAGAATGCCTTATGCCCTGCCATAGCATTCCACACAGCACTCCTTCTCATCAAGAAAATTACTTCATAGTAAACAAAGTGTGGCAATGAGACCACAATCATGGAATTCATAGGCCTTATCATATCCCCAACCATCCTGATGCTGCTGGTTTGACAGAAGAGTGGAATGACCTTTTGAAGACTCGGTTACAGTGTCAGCTATGAGACAGTACCTTGCAGAGCTATAGCATGATCATGGAATTCATGGGCCTTATCATATCCCCAACCATCCTGTTGCTGCTGGTTTGACAGAACAGTGGAATGACCTTTTGAAGACTCGGTTACAGTGTCAGCTATGAGACAGTACCTTGCAGAGCTGTAGCAAAGTTCTCCAGGAGTCTACATATACTTTGAATCGATATCCAAAATATGGTACTATTTCTTCCATAGCTAGAATTCATGGGTCCACAATTCAAGTGGTGAAAATGGAAATGGCTCTATTTACTATTACAACTGATGACCCATTAGCACAATTTTGCTTCCTGCTCCCATGACCTTACGCTCTGCTTGTTCAGAAGTCTTAGTTCCAAAGAGAGGAATGCTTCTAGCAGAAGACACAACACAAATTCCACTGATGTGGAAGTTAAAATTCACCTGATGACTTTGGGCTCTTCATGCCTCTGAATCAACAAGCAGGGAAGGAAGTTACAGTGCTGGCTGGGATAATTGATACTGACTACCAAAGAGAAATTGACCTGGTACTCTACAATGGAAATAAGGAAGAATATGTCTGAAATATAGAAGATCCTTAAGGCATCCCTTATTATTGCCATGTCCTGTGATTAAATTCAATATAAAACTATAACAACTCAATTTGGGCAGGACTACTAAAGGCCTAGATCCCTCAAAAATAAAGGTAAGGTGACCCTTACCAGATAAATAACTGTAACCTATTGAGGTACTTGCTGATGGCAAAGAGAATATGTAAATGGTAATGAAATAAGAGTTACAGCGATGTAACCAGTACAGAAATGGGAACTGTGTCATGTGTATTTTTCTTTGTTATTTTGTTATGAATATGTTCAAGTGTGTGCATGTGGGTATCTCAAATATCTGTTTTCTTCCCTCTCTTTTCCCCTTACCATATAACATGAGATGTATTGACTTTATATTATAGTACTTAAGTAATGTTAACTTTACATCATAGTAGTTAAGTTAGAGGACATTGAGAAGAATAATCATCAAAAAGACTTTCAAGGATTTTGCATCCTCTTTTAGGGGAAGGGTTAGTGCATTTTTAGTTGTACACAGGATAGTAGTATTAATCATGTTAAGCAAAAGTATTGCCTTGTTATTGTCTTTAATTGGAGATTAATTTTGGTTTAAGATGTATATGAGTGCCAGGTTTACAAAAATGGACTCATGATGGTTAATTTTATATGTTAACACGGTTAAATGATGGTATCCAAATATTTGGCCAAATATTATTCTAGATATTTCCATGAAGCTATTTTTTAGATGAGATTAACATTTAAATCAATGGATTTTGAGGAAAGCATATTAACCTCAATTGTGTGGATGGGCCTGATTCAACAGTTGAAGACCTTAGTAGAAGAAAACTGACCACCCTTCAGCAAGAAGAAACTCTGCAAGGAGACTGCCTTCAAACTTGAACTCTTCCCTGGGTCTCCAAGCTGCCAGACTATCCTGCAGATTTTTGACTTGTTGGCCTCCATAATTATGTGAGCCAATTGTTTGAAATAAATCTCTAGACTGATAGATGATAGATAGGTGATGATGATGATGATAGATAGATAGATAGATAGATAGATAGATAGATAGATAGATAGACTGGCAGAAAGATAGATAGATAGATATCCTACTGGTTGTGGCCCTAATTAATGTATCCCCAATGCTTTACTCATTAAATTTTAAATAAACTTTTTCTTTTTCATTTTACATATCAGAAAAGAAAAGCCTTCTAAGTTGTGTAAGGAACGGTGTCCTGGTTTTAAAAAAAAAATCAAACAAAACCTTGGAAGAGTAATTTGACATTGTAATCCTTTCATTTCACAGCAACTCCATGAACTCAAGATTGCAATGTAGTTACCATCTACAGAGATCCAGAGTCAGTTTGGATTCTACAATTGTAAATACACAAGCAGAATGAACTTCCACCTGAGAAATCACAAATCAAATCTAATATTACTTTTGGAGGAAAAGGGTTGGAGAAATTCCAATAAGGTAAGCTTACAGAACTCATGTCCAACCCAAGCTATAGAAGAGCCTTATGGAATAAACCGAAAGAACTAGATTGATGGGAGGCACAGCCTTGTTCTGTGGGAAGTGATGCATATCTTGAGGGGCATAGATCCAAATTGTAGACAAATTATATAATCTTGGCAATAAGACTTCCATTTCCAATCCTTGATTTTCACATCTGAAACCTAATGAAAGTGCAGCAGGTAAAAGCAGCAGATGAGGAAGGGGTAAGTCCATATTCGAAGCTACCCTGATCCCCTTACTGTTTCTGTGGTATTATTATTTTAGTCAACGCCTGGGTTTACTCTGGGCATCTCAGAGTCCGCTGGAATTCTGGGTGGATCCCATAAATTCTCCAATAGTTGTCTCAGTACATTTAGTAATTTATTTATACCTTAGGTTTTGTTTTGGTTTTGTTTCATTTCATTTTGGCCCTTAAAATGGGATACTGCTTGTAGTTTGTAGAAGGCTTTGTTAATTTATTTTGATTTTTGATCTCTCTATGATTTATCATATGTCTTCAAGGCATATTAAGATTCTAGGAAAGAAAACTGGTGTAGTGAATTCATTTTTCTAAGAATCATAATTTGTTATTGTTTGCAAATAAATATCTGAGACTGTGGAATCCAAGAGTATCTGAGCTTAAAGGTACCCTAGGGTACCAGAGATAACTCTTATTGAACATTACTATTTGCCAGATGTTGTATTAATATTACCTTCTTTATTCACAGAAATAATCATTAGAATAGCAATAATTACCAATTATTAAGTACTTGAGTGTGTGCATAAGCACTCATGATTTTTACTTAAAATAAAATTCATTCCAGTATAGCTGGAATGTGTTGCAAACATATTAATTCATTCAATCCTGAAGACAACCATATGAGTTGTACCATTATTTCTCCTATGTTATAGATGCGTAAAATGATACAGACAGGTTAAATAAATTGCCCATATCATACATTTAGTAAGCAATAGAACCGAAATTCAAAGCAGAGACTAGCTCCCAGGTCTGTGTTTTTAACTACTGTATTAAGCGGTTAATGGAGTTTCCTTAATAAATATACATTGTTATTATTCTCATTTAAGAGATAAACATCTGAAAGTCAAATTAGCTAAATACCTTGCAAAAGTCACTGTCCCTAAGCAATGAGTATCTGAAATACTAGTGCACTTTATTCTCGTTACAAAACCTTGAAATACTTATATGCCCATAGAAAATCTAGTGAAAATCCAGACAGATCCCAATTGTCACAGATTGGGATCAATACCACTATTCTGTCTAGGCTCTTGTGTGGGACAGTTCCCAGTCTAAGACCTCATATCTGCCTATCTCTGTGCTGTCCTTGATCGCTGAACCAAGCCCCAAACCTATACTCCACAATTTCACGTCTGTCTGGGATGCGCTGCTCAGATGGGCTGTATGAGTGGCAACACAACCACTTCAAAAACAGAGACTGTCTCCTCCTGCCATGGGTAGCAATGACCACAACTCTCAAATCATTTTGCCACTGGATACTAACATAAGAGCAAAAGACTCTATAATTAGGTGATGAATTCAGATCATTGGAGCACACATTTTACATTAAAACACTTCTGTGGCTTCACTCTCAATGGGCACACTATTTCAAATGCACTTTGTTATCTGTTGCAATATCACCAGACCTGCAGTAATATGCTCAAATCTCATTTCCTCCATGAATCCTTTTCTGATTCCTACAGTCCTACCAAGTTGTCTCTCATCTGAATCATAAAGAGCGTATCACTCACTTTATTTCTACCACCCTAATCCTTCATTGTCTTGATTTCTCCAACAAGATATTAATCTTGTCCCAAGTAAAGCCTACATTATTATCCTCCACTTGGCCTTATGCTGTCAGACTCTGTATAGTAGATTCTATAATATTGCTCCCAGTGAACTGATCAAATTGGTTGAGTTGCCAATGTAGTTCCCACTGCCCGGAATAACATCATATCCAATCAAATGTCTTTCTTGCTATCCTATTAAATGTGCTTACCTACAGAAGTTAAGTCTACCTCCTCAGTGGCTTCATCCACCTCTTCATTAATGAGTCAATATTGTTGTCTTTGTTGGTATAAAGAGTAAGAAGAAGCACATAGTGTATTTCTGTCCATACTAATATAAAGATACCGAATTGCTATATTGAATCGCTATAGAATAGCGCTAAACCAAAAATTTAGATCTCCAATCAGATGTTCTTTTTTTTTCCTACAAGATTTTAATGAAATAAATACTTTAAAAATGTCCTGGTATTTACATTTTCAATTTAACAGCCATGCCCCATGGTTGGCAAATGCAAGCGCATGGGACATGGCAATACTATAGGTGATTTGCTCTCCATTGCCCAAGTGTGGCAACCCCCACTCTCTTGGTTTGTTACTCTCCCTGGCACTATCCATGAAGTTATTAACACATGCCACTGATTATATCTATGGCAAATCAATCACATTCTACTACCCATTGCATTAAACATGAACAACTTTACCCTCTTATTTTAATAGCAAATCAGGGAGTCATTATTTAGAAGGCACAATCTCAAATGAGAAGGTAAAATTTAGATTTACAATTTTATTTTCCCCCAATTTCTTCTAATCATTCTTATTTTCCTAGAATAAAAAAAATCTAGAAAGTTTTGAGGGGAAAAAAAACCACAACAGTTTTTCAGTCTTTTGTAATTGAAAGTGAATAGAATGGTGATTTGAGGGTGCTCCAGAATCCTAAAGTATTCTAAAACAAAGACTACATTTTCCTTCTAAAAATATATGTTTAATATTAAATATATCTTTTAATCTAATTATCTTTGAGTTGCAGTTTATCTTATATCTTAATTATATTTTAGTTAGCCACCATACTATATTTATTAACCTTACCAGAAAATATAGTACATGCACATATACACATTTTTTGGAAGAAGAATAATATAAATAAATGTTGCCAGAATTCTACAGGGAAACTGATTACTACAATTTATCTTCCTAATAGCGAACTTGTCATAACAATTTTAAACATTCTTTTTCATTCTATCTCTCTTATCCTGATCTCATATTAATATGAGATCAATAAAAAAGACTGATTGGAAGGCAGGGGTGGGCACTGGCCATGGACCCTTACTCCGTGCTTATCATACACAATAATCCTCATTTTATTCCATTTTCTGAAAAAGACCTACTCCTACAGATTATTATTAAGAAGTTGACAGATAACTGAGAAACTCATGAATAGAGAAAAAATAAATTCACATCACACATCACAAAAAAGAACAATTAGCCAATTAGTCAAATTCCTTTTTGAGATCTGGGTTCTTGTCTGTTCATTGTCCCTCATCTTCCTGCTAACTAGTATTCTCTCTGTGTCCATACACAAGACATGAACTTGAAAAATCATTCTATTGTTCTCAACATTTCAGCTCTGGCCCTCAACTTACGTACCCCACTCAACCATATCACAACTCACAGAAAAATCACCACAGGCTCCTCAGGCCTGCCCCTTGGAAGACATTCTGCTACAATGATGCTTTTTTTTTTTTTTTTTTTTTTTTTTTTTAGACAGTGTCTCACTCTGGTGCCCAGGCTGGAGTGCAGTGGCGTGATCTCGGCTCATTGCAAGCTCCATCTCCCGGGTTCACGCCATTCTCCTGCCTCAGCCTCCCTAGTAGCTGGGACTACAGACGCTCGCCACCACGCCCAGCTAATTTTTTGTATTTTTAGTGGAGATGGGGTTTCACCGTGTTAGTGAGGATGGTCTCGATCTCCTGACCTCGTGATCCGCCTGCCTCGGCCTCCCAAAGTGCTGGGATTACAGGTGTGAGCCACCGCGCCTGGCCTACAATGATACTTTTAAAAAACAGATGAATACACTGATGTCCTTCATCCCTGCAAAACGAGGTAAACCATATAAAAATATACTCCAAAAATTCATTTTAAAGCAATTTCTACTTTAAGTCCAGTAAGCTGTAATGTCACATGTTTTGTATGTGGCAAGTGTTTTAATTTATTATTTAAAATGAGAATAAATGTGCAAATAAGCAGTAAGAGCTCATTGTATGAATATGTTATAGTTCAGGGAAGAAGACACTGAGACTGTGTGAGGCTCTTTATAAACTGTTTAGTAATTCCTGGACTCTGGTAAATTATGGGGAGATGCAGTTTACAGACATGGTAATATCTTGCCTGAAATGGAAAGAACTACCAGACACACCTTCCACAGTCTCAAGCTCTAAATCATAAATATGTTGAGCCAGTCGTTTACATCAATTTCAAACACGAAGGGCAGAGATTAGAGACACATTCAATAGAAAGTATAAATTGGCTGAATAATTATTTGCCAAAATTTTCATTCACATATAGATCATTTCAAGAGGAAATCAGGGTAATCAAGCATTGGCCTAACTCTGAAGTGGCAAAGTAGGGTTGTTTAGAAAGGAAAAATTCTGTCAAATTTAGCATATTTATTTTCTGTTTACATAATCTAGTAGAGGCCCCGCACATCATAGAAAGTCAAATATTTGTTCATCTGATTATGACATGATTTTAAATTCCCTTGTGTTTGCTTTATGATATATACTCCTGTCCCTCCTGTTTGAACATTTTATGGAATGTCAGTTTGGTTATAATTAATATACTCTAGCTCGTGTTCAGTATCGAGTCTATAATGACTTAACATTCTCAATCAATTTAGTGGAAGATAAAGACAGGATGTTGAAGTTCCCCTCATTCCCTGACATTATAGCTTACATTGAATGCTGAAGTACTTTTGTTTCTAGATGACCAGTTACTTATAGTTATTTTGGATTGGTCATTAGGTATATTGGAGAAATCACTGTTAAAACTGTACTGGAATGGCCTAGAGGAAAAGCATCAGAAGAGAAAGATAATTAAAAGGTATTATTACCATCATCTTTATACAGTGCTAATTTTTAACAATCATTTTTACAGTCATGTGAATGACAAGTAGATGCTATCCAGAATTCCCATCATTGGAGCCTGTATTTCATTGAATTAACACTCAACAAAAACATGCTAAGTGTCTCTTAACATTATACTACATACTGATGCTATAAGAAAGAGATAAAAATGAGAAGGATATGTAAGACAGTATGGCAATTGAAAATAAATATGTTCAAAATAAGTACCTCTCTTGGGTGGTAAAGGGATAATAGGAAGAATGGGATGTCTTATGGAGTAGTTAGTTCCCTACATCTAGGGTGTTTTCAAGCATGTGATCCATAGTGAAACAGGCCTTAAAAAGTCCCCTGTAGGGTAATAATTTGTAATTATTTATTGGCTATTTATGTCTTGTTCCTTTTATCCTCTTCACGGCTCCTTTTGCAAATGCCTGTATTTCTGTGTAGTTAAGATAAAGATAGCACTTTTTAACTTGAAGCCTTGCAAAGTGACATTTTCTCCAAATGCACTTGGTGAATTTTTTTATACAACTCTAAACTAGAGCTGAATCAACTGTAGGGAATGTGCTGAATGTCCATCCATAAAGGGAAACAAGATTAATGACCTCTAAGTGTGAATGGGCAAAAGCAATTTACAAGAGTGAGTGAGGGTCATATTTTATCACAGGCAGGTGGCTTATTCCAACTTTGCAAACAGTTACCAAAAATGCACACAACCACAAATCTTTGGCCTTTCCATCCTCACGTGAAACCATTGTGTGTGCCAGACAAATGATCCTACTATGTTTTAACCCCAAACTCAATCTGCATATGTTAATGAAGACTAAAATAGATTGCTAGAAAACTCCTTGAAGCAGAAACTAACAGAAAAAGCATTTTCCTTCCCAACCCACTCCACAGGATCTGTACTTCACCCAGCAAGAAAAGGAGCATGAAATTTTGCTTCTCACTATGTGGAAAACCCTTAATGCATGTTCTGCTAATTTTGGAATTTAAAAATTTTCTTTCACCTTGGACTTTGTCCTTGTTCCAGTGAACTGTGACTTCAAATCAGTATATCATATGGTGTTTGTTTTTATGTTTTTGGTAGTCATAGTAGGGGGTGTTAGAAGGTATGTAATATGGGAGGACACTGGTAAAATCTTTCTAGTACAAATCATAAAATAACAAAAATAAAAACACTTGTTCCAATGATATTGGATCTCTATTCTTCTCCTTGAGGTTTATGCCTCTAGCATAATTTGGGCACAGCCCACTCTAGTACTCTCTAAATAACCTGTGCAAGTTATTATACTTCTGCATATCTGAGGTCAGGAAAGAGGGGTCAGACATTTGGAACAACCAAAGGATATTAGACCTAGTAATAAAATAGAGAGCCAAAGGATATTAGCTGTCTACTGCTGCATAAAATTTTACCTAAAACTTAGTATCTTAAAACAACATGAATTTATTATCACTCAGTTTCTGCGCATCACAACTCCAGACATGAAATAACTAGGCTCTCTTGATTACGATTTCACAAGGTCAAAGTTATGATGTCAGCCAGGCTTCATTTCCATCTGGAGTTTGGGGGTCCTCTGAAAAGCTCTCGTGGTTGTAGCAGAATTTAGTTCTTTGCAATTGTAAGACAAGATGCCTATTCTTTGCTGGTTGTCAGCATGGGGCCACTCAGCTCCTTGAGGCCACCCACAGTTCTTTGCCATATGGTCTTCTCCATCTTTAAAAGTGAGCAATAGTGACTCTCCTGCTGAATCCCTTTCAGATTTCAAATCTCTGTTACCATAAAGAGCCTTGCCCTTTTAAGGGCTAGCTTGTGTAGATCAGGCCCACTGAACATGATCTCCTTTCTTTAAGTAAACTGTGCCAAATAACACAATCTAATTATGAGAGTGGTATTATGGCATTGCATCACAAGCACAGGTCTTTCTCACAGTCAAAGGGAGGATATTCTACAAGAGCATGGTTCATTGGGGCTTATTTTATAATTCTGTCTACCACATAATTCTTGAAGGGAGTATCATAAAGCCAAGGCCTGAGGCAAGGCAAGTAAGCTGCTATCTTCAGGAGGGCTGGACAGAGAAGGCAAGGAGAGGGCATAACAGGAAATATGGATGTTCACATGAGTGATGACTGCCATCTAATGAAGATTAGGGATAAAGAGGATATTTTGTCCAAGAAATGGCATTGTTAATACTCCATCTCACAACTGTTTAGAGAAATGGGAATAATTTTGTTAACTGCAATTTACCACTTCCTAATGGAAAATATTCTAGCACAGTGACCTTGTGTGCAATTGGGTGACCAAGCTGATGTCTACCAACCCTGGGTAAAGCCAATTATGAAATATGATGAATGCTGAATGACTCAAAAGGGCTTTACATAATTAGCAAGAGCCAAAGAAACTAATGAATTCTTTTACAAGAACAAAACATAACAGCAACAAAACAAATAAATGAAAACAGGATGTCCTTAGAATCCTCAATATAGGTTGCAAGTTGAAGACTTTGATGGCAGACTTTCAGGATTCAAATCCTAACTTTCTAACTTACTAAGTATTTGAACTCAGGTAAGTTATTGAACTTCATTTTATGTATATAGAGCTACAGATATATACATCTATGTATATATATAGCTATGTAATACAGATATACATATAAAATGTATATATAATTTGGACAAATACCAGAAAAGTAGTTTGTATATAATACAAAGTCATTATTACTAGTTGTTTATAGTCCTCTTAATATTACTGGAACTAAAGTTTGTGTGTCTCAGCCCTAACACCGACATTGCGAAGTTCCAACAGGTCTACACCTCTAACACTTCTATATTTATTTATTTGCTCATCCATCTAATCTTCTGGATGGTAAATTTCTTAAGGTAAAAAAGTTGTGCTTCTCATTGATCTACCTTTTAGTGGACAATTTATGCTGGCTTGACTATCACACCAGCCTTAACAGTAAATCATCCTTGTAGTATAAGTTTTCAGTTGTGGCAGGCTTTGTCAGCAACTTATTCATTTTACATTTATACTTCTAGCAGAACCTGGATTCTGTTAGGGGCAACAGAGTGTCAGGCTCTTTGGCCCACCACCTCTTTTGGTACCATTTTGATGAAAAAGTATAGGGAGAAATACCTCAGGCCTTCCTGTCTAAAATGGGGATGTCAGGTGGGAGGTGGAACACCCACTTAGTGACCCAAAGGAATATTCTAGAAGACAGACACAAGCTAAAGACATTAGGCTGAAAGATGTAAGGAGCCTGAGACATTGGGGCCTGAAAACCTGCTGAAGCCATGCTGGAAAGGCTACTCCTGTGCTTGCTGATATATAAGGAAAATAAATTTTCCTTGAGCCACATGCTACAAGTGCCAAATTTTCCATTGAGCCATATGCTACAAGTGCCAGATTTCTGTTAAATGTAGCCTGGTACATGTTTTAACTGCTGCAACAGTGTATTCAGCATCGGAGGCCAAAAGATCACCAAAGAGATCACCAAAGAATACAGTTAATCCATATTAATGTCATCTTCTGCCACTTGATGATATATAATTGGATGTAGAGCCACCGTTCAAGTAATGTGAGTGGGAGCAAGAGGAAGCAAACAAGGAGAATAATGCAGTAGGATGTGCTTAAGCATAACTTCAAGCAATGTGGAGCAATCATCCATTGCTGGGCAACAGAGAAAGGTTTCCATTTAGTGTTTCATTTTGCATGTGATATGTCATATAATTCAATCCGCCTGCTGGGGAAAGGGAACCACAAACAGAAAAATGTAAATGTGGCTACAGACTTCAAGAGCACCAGACCTCTCTGGTGATATTCCACAAATTCATTATGCACCTTTAGGCAAATACTCACATACCCAGAAAAGTGTGTGTGTGTGCATGCATATTTGTGCATTGCAATGTATCTGTTTGTACATAATGATTAGCCTGTTCATTGTTGAAATTCAGACTACCACTGTTGTTAGAAACACAGACCTGGGGCACACTGCCTGGGTTAAAATTCCATTTCTACAGCTTACTTCTACAGCTTAGCAGCATAAACTCATCTTCAGGCATCAGCTTTCTTATCTGCAAAATTGGTGCAACAGATCCTGTTTCACAGGATTATTATCAGGATGAAATAATTAATATGAGGTACCCAGGACAGGAGTTGGAACAGTCTTGTACATGTTAGCTAATATCAGTTTTACAATGCCGTAGAAGTAAATATGCTCTCAATTGTGCATGTACATAATCGTGGGTATACAAACACATACATACATATTCATATATCCATCCATCTATTTCTATATAGATAAATGAAAAATCCATTGTTGTGATATGTGTAATGCTAGTTTACATGTTGTAGAGCCTTATGAATTTTAGAGTCCAGCAGCATTAACAACAGCTACTACTTATTAAATATTTACTAGGTGTCAGGGGCTGTGCATAGCACTTTACTTGCATTGTCCTGTTTAATCCTCACAACATTCAAAGATCGTAGGAAGTATTATTATAAGCACAGTAAAGGATTAGTTACTTGCCTGTGGTAACAAAACAAGCAGGCAGAGGAACTGGACTTAGAATCCAAATCCAAATCTCTCAGTCTCCAGAGACTGAATTTTTGTGCTTGATGCTGTTATTTTTATTTTTTGCTCCACTTATTAACTTAGATGACATGTCACACCTGAATAGGTTGAAGAAGTCCTCATTTAGGAAACTCAAATAAGTTTCTATTAATACTAGAAAGTACTCGAGTTAATTTCAACAAACAAATCTCTTATTTGCCATTAACCTATTTATATCCTAGGATAGTAGTGCTTGGAAAAATGTTACAACAAAGAATAGATAGCTTTATAATGAAAATCAGAAGTATTTGCTCAATCAAATGTGGATAAACTAATACTTTCTGCTCATTCACACAAGAAGCAGTCAATTTACAGTTAAGTATACAGAATGAAATGTAATAAATTTCTCTAGCATACACACTTCCCCAAACCACACAGCCCTCAGAGTATCATATAATTAGTTCCTTGCCACTTGCTGACCATTTACTTTTGCAATTGTTACTTAACTGCCTTAATCGTGTACCTGGTGCAAGGGCATTTAGTCAAGAGGATGCAATCTAAAGTGTATTCCACACTTCCACTCGCAATGGCAGGTGCCTAGGACATAGATGCATTCACCTAGGAAAAGGAGTGTCTTTTTTCTAATCAGCACTAAAGGCTGATCTTTGCTAACAAATACCTTGATTAAAATGTTTTTTTTTTTTATCTAAAGATACCTAAAGTTGTTTGATACCTCTAGATAAAAGGGCTGTGCCATCTTGTTCATCATCACCCAAGTACCTGGGGAAACACTGGGCTCATAGCAAGTGTTAAGTAAATGTTTCATTAGAAAACTGGGCCGGGTATGGTGGCTCATGCCTGTAATCCCAGCACTTTGGGACGCCGAGGCAGGCAGATCACGAGGTCAGGAGATCGAGACCATCCTGGCTAACATGGTGAAACCCCGTCTCTACTAAAAAATACAAAAAATTAGTCGGGTGTGGTGGCTGACGCCTGTAGTCCCAGCTACTTGGGAGGCTGAGGCAGGAGAATGGCGTGAACCTGGGAGGCGGAGCTTGCAGTGAGCAGAGATCGCGCCACTGCACTCCAGCCTGGGTGACAGAGCGAGACTCTGTCTCAAAAAAAAAAGGAAAGAAAAAGAAAACTGTATGACTAGTCTGCAAAGGGTGGAAAGAAAAATTGCTCCTCATTCTTTTTTTCTTTCCTATACTCTGCATACTTAAGGGTTGATGCTACTTCCTAAATGTCCTCACCCAGAATATCTGTGCAATGCCAATAAAACGAAAGACCCAGGGGCCTAATGTACTATTCCATCCAGAAGGCAGCAAGTATATGTGTACAGCATAACAAATAACAAGATTAGATCCCATATGAGCTCTCTTTTGCATAATGAAATTCCACATGTTAAAATGCAGATTTATTTTAAGCCCTAGAAGTGCTGACCATATGCCTCGGTGGCTGAGGAGATGGCTACTTAATAGATAATCTGCAATGCAAGCCAAAGAACTAATCATGGCCATCTGATCATCATGCCCCATCAAAAGCCGAAATGAGGAGACAGGGAACAGAGCCAGAAACTGCCAACACATTTTACAAGCAGGGAGAGACCACGAGTCTAAAGGGAGGGCAGGAGGGATAAAATGAACATCTTCCTACCCTAAGCAACATAACAAAATAATAACAATAAGAACATGGCTGTTTTAGAGTATATTTGTGATAAAACACATGCTCCACTAAATGTATTATAACTATACTCTTATTTAATCTCCTTTCATTGGGGAAGTTGATGAGAATATTGACATCACATAAAGGTAGAATATTTTCCAAAACATATATCCTAAAAGGTGGGGTCCCTGATCTTAATTCTGTTCACAGAACCCAAGCTTCTGATCACTATCCTACAGAAGATGGCACATCATGCATGCTAAATAAATGCTTGTTAATTGAATGAGCATATAACACAGAGAAATCAAGTGTTTGTCATTAAGTGCATTTAACAGATCACCATGCATAAATTTTTGCCCCAAATGTGTTCTGCAAAATATTGATTATTATGAATGGGATGGCTCTAAAATATCTTGGGCATCTCTCTGCCACCTTACTAGTGGGTAGAGGACAGTTTATCCTTAACTGATGACTGAGAATCAGGAGCTAAGCTGCATGTCTTTGAACTACTTAATCTCTGTATTAGTTTGCTAGTGCTGCTATAACAAAGTAAAACAAACTGAGAAGCATAAACAACAGAAATATATTGTCTCACAGTTCTAGATGCAGGAAGTCCAAGATCAAAGCATCAGCAGGGTTAATTTCTTCTGAGAGTAGTAAGGAAGAATCTACTCCATGTCCCTCCTCCCTAGCTTCTGGTGGTTTGCTGGCAATCTTGGTTTTCTTTAGCTTGCCAAAGCAACACCCCATATCTCTACCTTCAGGTCCACATGGCATCCCTCCTGTGTGAGCCTGTGTTCAAAACTCTCCTTTTTATCAGGACAACAGTCACATTGGATTAAGGGCCCATATTTCTGCAGTATGACCTCATCTTAACTAATTATATCTTCAATGATCCTATATTCAAATAAAGTTGCATTCTGAAATATTGGGGGTTAGAACTTCAACATGTGAATTTAGGAGTGCATAATTCAACTGCTAACAGTCTCTTTTATTTATTTATTTATTTGCAGTTTAATAACTTTATTTGACACCGAGCAGTTAGTTCTCATTGAAATGAACTGTAGATTTTTGAAAGTGGTGACAGGCAAAATAGGTATACAGCCTGTTTGGTGAATCTTCATCTCATTGCTTTTCAGGACAGCCACCCAAGAGTACAAGATAGAACATTTCTTATTCCTTTATGCCACATAGCTTTGTTGAGCCTGGTATCAATGCACACATCTGGAGCTCTCATCTCTTTCATGGAAAATTTCCAGATCTCTTTCAGTGCCCATAAGACCTACTACTTGAATCCCACTCCATGGATGCACCTCTAAATATTGATGGTGTATCCTCTGGCCACCTTCTTGTCGATGGCAAAATGGCCCTTCTTCTTGACTTTCTTTATGTGAGCTATTCTGCCAGGCTCAGGTTGGAAAGGAACCATAACAGTCTCTTACATCTGAGCCTTTGCACACGATGTTCCCCACACTTAGGATACTCCATCCACCACTGTCCCCATCCTGACCTCCACATTCCTTTCAACTGACTAATTAACTGCTCACATCACTGCTACCATTTCCCTTCATTCAGGAAGCCTTCCCTGACCCAGGTCAATAAATGTCAGCTAGTGTGATGAATAATAATAACAGTAATAATAGCTGAGAAATATTAACCACCCTGAGTAGTCATGTGGCAATAAGAGAAAGCACTATTGAGACTTTTCAACGCTGCTCTGTGATCACTTGCTTTTTAATTCTTTTATCAGTCTTTTTTTACTTGCTTTTTCGTTATTTTATTTATTAAAGAAATTAAGACTGTCAGTGAGCATTAGTGTGTTGCGTCTGTTGGCTTATTATTTTCCGGTCCATGTCTTTTTGTGATTACAGATCTATAGATCATGTGTCTGATAGACTCCCTTTCTTCATTCCATACTTTGTGACTGAATCCAGGCAAGGCAAATCACTTTTAATTCTCATTTCCTCATCTCCAATCAGGATAAAATTCTTAGGCTGTAGAGTTGATGTGAGAATTAGAGATACAGCTAAGATAGTGCTGAAGTCATAATAGGCACTGAGGTACTCATTATTTGATATATTATAGTAGTTAGGATTATTATTTATGAAATTAGAATTATTAATGTTTCTTCTACTCCACAATGTATCAAAGTAGAAAAGCACTGATCTGTTGGACTTATCTGTAAAATGAGAATAACAGGACTCTGAATGAGGCTCTTTCTTTGAGTCAATGTGTAAGGGTTCATGTACAGACCTCTGAAATCTACTGAGATTCTTTGGAAACTCTCTTGACTTGTCTTTGACCATAATTTGATGTTCAATGAGTCTGCAGCAAAGTGTTATTAGTGTTTTATCAAATGGTTTAAACATAATTTTTTTTTTTTTTTTTGAGACGGAGTCTCGCTTTGTCGCCAGGCTGCAGTGCAGTGGAACGATCTCGGCTCAGTGCAACCTCTGCCTCCCAGGTTCAAGCAATTCTCCTGCCTCAGCTTCCTGAGTAGCTGGGATTACAGGCACGTGTCACCACACCCAGCTAATTTTTGTATTTTGAGTAGAGACGAGGTTTCACCATGTTGGCCAGGATTGTCTCAATCTCCTGACCTTGTGATCCTCCCGCCTTGGCCTCCCAAAGTGCTGCGATTATAGGCGTGAGCCACCGCTCCCAGCCTAAATGTAATTTTATTTAAGATACACAGCATACAGATAAATATTGAAAGCAATAAAAATTCTACAACACCAGATAAACTTTCTAGAAGCAGACTTTTAAAGACCTCATTAAACATACTAAACATACTGTAATTTTACTTCTGCAGGAGGTAAAATGATTGTTTATCTAACTTGGAGAAGCCTTCCATTTCATCTTAAGTAATGCATCTGTAAACATAATAAAGTTCCAGCCTGTGAAGAGAACATCACATCACATCACATCACATCACATAGGGCACATCCCTTTTTTATTTTTTTGAGACTGAGTCTCACTGTATTGCCCAGGCTGGAGTGCAATGGCACGATCTCAGCTCACTGCAACCTCCACCTCCTGGGTTCAAGTGATTCTCCTTCCTTAGCTTCCTGAGTAGCTGAGATTACCAGGCCTGGCTAATTTTTATATTTTTAGTAGAGACGGGGTTTCACCATGTTGGCCAGGCTGGTCTTGGACTCTTGACCTTGTCATCTGGCCACCTCAGCCCCCCAAAGTGTTGGGATTACAGGCATGAGCCACCGCGCCAGGCCCACATAGTGCATATCCTTTAATACAACACACTTTGGTTTTGATGGGGTGGGGGCAGAATAGTGAAGCATACAGCATGACATCATTGAGGATCACAGGCCTGAATTCCCTCACTGCATTGCCCTGTGACCTCTGTCTCCCTTGTGAAGTGACAAGGTCGGTCTAAATCTTTCCTTCAGCTTTAGGATTTCAATGATTCTGTAAGTTTTCTCCAATAAGAGGTTGGTTTTGCAATAGAATTTTAAAGTCAGTTTGCCAATGTATTCTATAGATAAAACTGAATTAGTAAGTGGACCTGTTCAAAGTCTCTCTCAACAATATGTATAATTTAATTAGCAGTTTAAAAAGTAGACCATTGATTATTAGATCAGCCACCTGTAGAAAATATGCTTTTGTGCATTTTATGGTGTGATATTTTCTTTCAAAAGTGTTACTCTGTGTACATTATGTCATTTTGGCATAAATATTTTGTTTATCAGAGCATCTCATTGCCTAAACATATGAGACAAAAGATAATATGATTATCTTATATATTTTGATTAGATCTAGTGAAGTTAAAACTAATTTTTAAAAACCTAAATCTTGGGTTAATTTGATTCAAAGCAGTTTTAACCATAAATTTTTAAAATCTTACTAAGAATCTCTCATCTCTTTATTCATACT
Source organism: Homo sapiens (assembly GCF_000001405.40). Classification (NCBI taxonomy): domain Eukaryota; kingdom Metazoa; phylum Chordata; class Mammalia; order Primates; family Hominidae; genus Homo; species Homo sapiens. The sequence continues at coordinate 145,198 of NT_187540.1, forward strand.
CCTGGATGAAGCTAACAGATGCATATTCTTCAAGTGCAGTTCTGATTATGCATTTTTTTGAATGAATACATTTAATGGTTACCTTACTAGTTTTTCAATAAAATAACAACCTCTTAGCCTGGTAGTCAAGTCCATTTTATTTCTATCTTCATTTCTCCTCAGCATTAATTTTCATTATTTTTAATGCATCAAATACATTTTCTAAGCCACCATTTCTTCATCTAGAGATTTGGATAATAACTTCTACATTTTAGGTAATTTTGAAGATTAAGAAAAATTAAATTTCTGTGGCCTAGGGTGAGTACTTAATAAACCACAATTATTGATTGTTATTATTATTTTTGAGACCCCATGATAAAAAGAATATGCTTACTTTAACAGAAGAAAACATGGTTTCAAGTCCTATACCTTACTTGTTATTCCTCATTTCAGGTAGGTTAATTAATCTTCCTGTGCTCTCATTTATTTATTTGTAAAGTGGTTATAGTAGATGATTAATTAATAAGAGGATGGACTTAAATACTTGAGGAGAGGACTCTAGCTAAAAGCACCAACAAGAGTTTGTTTCCCTTTTCGTTTGTTCCATGTGTAGCCTATATTTTAGCTATAGGTTAATCACCATTTGTTTACCATGTCTTTCCTTTCCTAACACTAAAAGTTTTCTCAGGCTAGTCCCTCAATCTACAATGTGCTCCTATATCCTATCTATCAATACTTTACCTAAGGCACAGCTGAGATATTTCCCTTATTTAAAGTCTTAGGATTTTTCCACCAGGAAATATCTTCCCTATCCTGTGTACCCTCTTTTATCTTTCCAAATATACTTGTATATGTCCTCCTTATTTATATATACCTCTTGCTTCCCTTACTTAGACTATAATACATGAAAGGCAGAGATGGGAGCATCATTCTTCATATCTCCTAAATGACCTTTCCCAATGGCTTGCAGATAAGAAACATTCAATAAACTTAGGTTAACTACACTATGATTTTTCTGTATACTTTGGTCTCTATTTTAAACTCCTTGTCTCCCTTCTAAAGTAATTTCTACATTTAGGGACATTTCACATCAAGCAGAATATATAACATATTTTTACTTTCCATTGATCTACCCACATATCTTTTCAAATCTTCCCTGAAGTTGTGCTATCATAGGTAGTCACAGATGACAGTTGGAAAAGACAAGAGTAAGTGCAGCTCAGGGGAATTTCAATAGTAGACTAACATGCCCTACTTCTGGCATCTGAGAAAAAAACAGCAAGAAATGAGAAAGACAGCACTGTTAACTTGGACCTGGAGGTTAGAGTGGGCTCATGAGATGTGGGGTTCTCTGTCCACTACTCTAAATTGTTAATGCTATCCTTAAACAGGTCCAAGAATCTATGCTTGAAAATTAGTTCCCTTTTCTAGTGGTGGTTGTAGTGATGACAGTGATACTTGTTATTTTCATTTATGTAGCAATTTCACTTATATATATCTCATTTTGACATGGACAGGAGGCAGGGAAATACTGGTTAGAAAAGGGAGGTTCCCTAGAAAAGGCCCCACCCTCAAGCCTGGAAACTTGCAGCCCTAAATGAGAATAAGCATTCCTGTTTTCGTGCCCAAATGTTGCCTTTTCCAAGACCACTCTGGCCTGCCATGCCCCTATTCTGTGCCCATATAAACCCCAAGCTCCATAGGCAGAGCAGCAGAGCAGTGTAGCAGAGAAGGAAAGAAGAGAGGAAGTGTCTGAACACATCAAGAGAAGTTCTTCTGGGACGACAGGCAAGGACATCAGCCACGGGACGGCTGAACTCAGGGGAACATCATCTGTCCACTCCATCTCCTTTCCAGCTCCCCATCCCATTTAGAGCCACCTCCTTCACTCAATAAAATCCCCACATTCACCATTCTTCAAGTTTGTGTGACCTGATTCTTCCTGGACACTGGACAAGAATTTGGGAGGCAGTGGGTACGGGAACCCAAAAAGGCTGTCACACTGACTCTTCACTGAGCCGCTTAACACTTAAGCCATTCTTGGATAGCTGGGCTAAAAGAGCACTGTAGCACTCCTGGACACTGCCATGGGTCTGGAGCCCAAAAGTGCTCACTCTGGCTCCTGCACCTGCTCACTTGTGTGCTCCCACTCCCATAAGGGGTTTGAGCATGCCACATCCACGTCACAAGTCCCACAAGGGGGTCAGGGAACTCTCCCATTTCAATTTGAATAGCAATCCAGTTCTCAGAGGTAGTTGTTATTACATCTATCTTACCTATGAGAACACTGTGGCTCAGAGTGATGAGCCAAATTGGCCAGAGTGACTAAGACACTCATCCGATAGAAGATTCTAGACAAAATCTCTTCTCCTGCCCCCACCCTCCACCCTCCATCTAGTTCACTGCCCTCGATAGGTTCTTTTATCCCTTCACTTTTTAACTGGCATCTCTGAAATGCTGAGGGGCAAAAAATGAAAGAAAAGATAAAATACTAGTGCCAAAGGCAAAGAAGAAAATACCAAACAATTTTAGTGTAAAAGTAACTAAACGTCCTTATTTCTATTAAAAAATTAGCTTAGATCGGAACTATATAAGGCAGTTTTCTCGCTGTAAGAGAAAATTTTCAGTTGCTGTAAAGGGTGACACAATGCGACCCAAGTGATCTGTAGACATTTTAAAAACAGGGCTGAGTCCAAAGTGCCTTTTCAGAAAGGTGTTAGGGCTTCCTCACACCACCTGGACAAAGGGGTATTTGCTTGTAAGCAACCTCTACAAGGGTATTTCATACACCCTGTGTCCTCCACAATCTGAAGCTTAAAGAAATACAAAGCAGAGTCAGCGGTGCCCTGGGATGTTTCTGACTTTACAGGTCTGTCGAGCTTGGGAAGATACTGACATTTGTTATATTTTTCTTAAAGCCTTTTCCAGTAATAAAAAGTACATCTTCTCTTCATTTCTACCAGATGTATTTTTATTTTTGTCCATAAAAAATGTCCAAAGTCACACAGTTTACAATCTGAATGCAGTGATTTCTCCGTACCAATACATATCACAGAATAAAATAAAAGTTGCTCACTGGCCTGAAAGATGGGCTACCATAACATCTGCCTACAAAGTGATTTGCTAAACAGCATTGGAAATGCATATCCCATTAAAAATGTAGCATTAGGGAATTCATCCAGAATAATGACAGAAGCACAAAAGCAGGATTAATTAGAACCCTATTTCTTTCTACTTAGGCCTCCTATGTAACATTATCTTCATATAATTTTGTTTTGTGGTCTAAAATAATTGTTTCTATATAAAAATGATTGTAATAGCTTTGCAGTTGTATGTGTTCACTCTTAAAAACCACAGACTTCATACACAGAATTACTAGAAAAACTAAAGTATTAACCAAGAAAAAGATTCAGGCTGGTACTGGACACATAAATATTGTTTTATCAGGAAAAAAGAGGAGAATTTGGAGAGATGTTACACCAACATCCTCCAGCATTTCATGTTTTCCAATGGAAACTGAAACAGTGTTTCTAATAACTTGATTCAAGGGTTATTTTACAAAGAAAATAAAATGCAAAGATATATTTTACATCAATAATTTGAATTATACAAAAAAGAAGAAACTATTGATCATTTTCTTAGAATGTTACTATAATAGCTATTTCCCTAGAAGAGGTTTCAATGCAGTCAAATTTTGATCAGGCAAGTGGGAGAAGGTTAAGACCTTAGAGGCCTATTTCAGGATATCAGGGAAAAGGAAACTTGTAAAATAATTGTAAATCAGTTTTCTAAACTGATAATGTAGCCCTTATCGATAATGGTTTCTAACTTACTAATATTCTTGATTCTTTTGAGAAAAGAAGTTATCGATGACATTAAATGGATGACATTACTTAAATGTCATCAAATGGTTAATGGATGACATTAAAATGTGTATCAAGGTGATTGTGGCCTTCTTTTTTAAATAAAAATTTTTCCTAAAGTGTGTAGATTGTTGAGGATTGTCTGCTTACTGTGAAAAGCTGATGCCTGTCCACAAGGGTAGCTTGGAGGTGCCCATCGGAGGAACATGGGGAGCGGAGTGTAAGCCTTTGGGAGCACCGTGCTATGACTGCAGATGCTCCCTGGCTGCTCAGAGCCTAGCTGTGACTAAGCCAAGGCTACTCTACTACCTGCTTTCTTCATGTCTTCAATGGCTTAGGACTGGCTTCATAACTAGCTTCTGGTTGTTGCTCACTGACCCACACAGGCCTTGAACCTGTGATCCTGACCTTGCTTGTTCTAAGGCCTAATAACTATGAGTGGTGTCTAATACTCACTGATTCTTGAAAGGTCCTGTAGAACCCAATAAGCTTCCCTCAGGCACTTCTGCACACACTCTGGGACATCCTTTCAGCAAGTCCATTCCAGAGGAGTTTGACATCTACAAAACAGAAATCCCCATGCTAGATCCTTATACAGCTTCCAAAATCTCATTCTCACAACAGCACTATTTTGTTGGTATGATATCCAAGGTAAAGAATGATGTTGCAACTTCCTCAGAGTCACAGTGCTAAATAACTTCAGAGCTAGAATTCAAACTTAGGTTTTTTTGTTTGCTTTTGTTTTGTTTCTTTTTTTTTGAGACAGAGTCTTGCTGTGTTGCCCAGGCTGGAGTGCAGTGGCACAACCTTGGCTCACTGCAACCTCTGCCTCCCTGGCTCAAGTGCTTTCTCTTGCCTCAGCCTCCTGAGTAGCTGGGACTACAGGTGTGCACCACCACAACTGGCTAATTTTTTTTTGTACTTGTAGTAGAGACAGGTTTCACCATGTTGGCCAGGCTGGTCTTGAACTCCTTGCCTCAAGTGATCCACCCACCTCAGCCTCCAAAAGTGCTGGCATTACAGGCGTGAGCCACCACACCCGACAGGTCTTCTGATACCTCTATTGCTAATGCTCCTAAACTGCACAGCAGTTCTGTGAACTAGTCACATTTAAACCACCTGCAAATGCTCTGCAGTAGATAGACCTGTCAAACAAAAAACAGAGGCAACCAAAACAAACACTCTCCCTAACCTACTTCTTAAACAGAGACAAAAAAAAAAAAATAGGAACCAGAGAAAGCAATTATTCCCATAGCATATTTAAACCAGATAAATATTTCTGCTTGCCATCTTGCAATTTGAAAGTTGGAAATGGCTTATGGTGAGTTAAAGAGTTTGGAATGTGGGCCTATCTAGGAAGATAGCAAAGTCGTTAAAAGTGAAGTTTCTGAGGTCAGGCACCTCAGTTTATCTTCTAGCTTTGTTGTTTATGATCTAGGTGGCTTTAGGCAGTTTGCTTAATCTCCTGTCTCTCAGTTGCTTCCCAGATATACACTCGAGAGTTGAAAAATAACATTCTTAATATAATTCCTGTTCCTTCATCTCACCATGCCACCTATAGACTATTTTTTAAATGCCTATGGACTATTTTTTAAATGCCTACTGTGAAGACTTTTGTGCATTGCACAACTTTATGGCATTGTTTTTGCATTAAATGTTTTCCATATATAATTATAAAATTATCACAATAGTTGTTGTGACATGATTTGGTACTTCTTTAATTTTTAATAAAAGCCTAAAAAATGAAAATGGCTTGAATTTCCAGGTCTTGGAAAGTCCTGACTTAAATTCATGGATGCTTAATTTATCTGTCACATGATCTATTAATGGCTATCATATAGTATTTTTGGTGAAGATTAAATAAAATAGGACGTGAGGACCAGCACAATGTCTGACATATAGTGGGCTCTCAATAAATCACTTCTGTTATTTTTCAGAAAGAAATAATTTTTTAAAGCTTTATCGTTGGTCCTCTGATTAGCCAGCATACCCCCAAAGTTCAGGAAATATATGGAAAGTGAAAATTTTATAACTTCTGGAAACCTCCTCCATGTCCAGGACCTTCCTCTGGGTAAAACAGAGGAAGATTTGTTTTCATGAACCTTTCTTTCTCTTTAACATTTAGAGGTCGTGGGCAGAGAAGCCTTAGAAGACAGAAATTTAATTCAAAGACTAAATGCATAGGAATGGAATATTGTAGTAGGTGATATATTGCTAAAAAACCTAACTTTAAAAAGTAATTGCCAACTTAAAAAGAAGTCAGGAAAAGCTGAGGAATGGTTACTACTGTCTTTTCTATCACAGGGCACCCCCCCCCCCTCATTTTATACATGTATTTTCTTGTAAAAGTTAATCAACACAAATGTAAAAACTAAAATAAGTCAAGGCTCTAAGAAGCACAGATAGGAACATTTCAAACAAAGTGTACCTGACTAGTAGGCACCCAGCCAGCTGGCCTTTCCTACAAAGGAATTTTTTAGGAGTATTGTGTAGTGCTGTCTGCAATGAACAAGATAGCATATCATAAGGGCGTATCAGGCATTTGGCAAAACTTGTGCTGGGGCCCAACTATGCTGGATACAGAATTCTCTCTGTTATCCAGGTCTTTATTTCCCACTTGCAGGACCATCTGCAGCCAACTCCCTATATCCCCTGAAGCCTTCATCCTTCCTCTGACCATACATGGCGCCCCTTTGGCCTTTTGTCATTTTCAATTATTGTGAACCCAGGAAGGTGGAAACTAACTTTAATATCTGCTGTAAGAAAACATAACAAGAAATATAAATCTATTAATTTCAAAAAATCAGTGATTAAAGCCAATTTATTTTCCTTGGCTGACATTTTCCTTCAAGGATTTCTCTGTTGCTCCTGCCTATAGAAGAATTTTAGTTTCCCTTCAAACATTCTACTGGTGCCAAGTTAAGAAGTTACCTGAAAGAGAATGCATAAAAATCAAGTTGAAATGTCTCAGCTTTGTTCCTTTTTAAAAGATGAAGACATAGTGCATTACTTAGGTAACACTGCTTCTCTGATTCAGTGGGACAGCTTGATGAGAAGATATATGATACTTTGTACATAACCGTTGTTTTCTTTTTGTCATCAATAAGTTGAATCTTGACTTCATTAGAGCCTATCCAAATGCATCATTGCAACGGATCATCTCCCCACATTACTGTATCCATTATGTGTAGAGCAAGTTCATCCAATTTCCCCAACAGTTTATGAGAGAAAAGAACAAATTAAAAAGGCCTACTCTCTTACATATCAGGATGATTTATGCCAGTGTGTCAGCACACGTATTTATATTTTCTCTGGCCCTTCTATTTGCTTAATATATGAAGGAGGAAAGTTAATATTCTTCTGAAAAACTCTGTTCTGGTCTCTACTGATTTGAACATAAAGTTCAAAAGGAGATGATATCTTATAAAGACTCTAAGCTTACTGCATTAAATTAACAATACTAATCTCTGTGTTTCACATGGTACTTATGCAGAGCAGCTTTACAGACATTAAATGAAAAAAAAATGCCAAAGCTGTCTTTTATATGAAAAGCAAGAATAGAACCTTCTCTACATGTCCCTTCAAGTCTTTTTAAAAGATACGCTTCAGCTAGTGGTGGTGAATAAGGGGGAGGAAAGAGAGCCACATTGAATGGGTTCTTCTCCTGCTTACCTTTCTTCAACTTCAGACCTTTCTAAATCCCACTGACCTGGAGGGAATAAACAGAGAAGAAAGAAGCATAGCAAGAAGTAGAAGGAGAAATAGACAACCATTCAAAAATGTTTTAAAAAATCATCAATTACCAATCTCAGGAACTCTGGGAAGGAAACTAGACAACTATAACATTAGAAAATCCAGTTATACTCCCCTTCCAGACACACCCCATGGAGAAACTTGAAGAGGAAAGAGACGAAGCCAACTTCAGCCTCAAACAATTTTGCCCATGACATCAGAAGATGGTAGGACATGAAAGGGGAAAACTGCAGGAAGATCTCATAATTCTATAGACCTTAGGAAAATTCCGGCTCATCTCACATTAGTTTTCCAATTCTCCTTTTCCCATTTGTCTATGGAGATAGGATATTTGAGCAGTCCCAACCACCTCTATTCTTGATTTCACATGTCCGTTAATTCAAAAACCATGTACTGAAAATCTCTCACATGCTCTGCTAGGATTAATAAAGACATCACACACAAACAATGTCACTGCTAAGCTTATTGGGCTCAAGGTCTCACAAGGTATGTGAGAGAGGATGTTGGAGACAGAGCCAGGAATAGAAAGCTATAACAGTGATATGATATAAGTATGCATCAGGTGCTGTGAGATTCCACTCAAACAGTTTGTCCAGACATGATATTTTTGTAATAAAATTTCAAGTCTATGATGATTGCCTAGCTGCACAGATAAGTCTTTTTCCAGAATAAAAGATAAGCCAACAATGACCACTTCCTTATTCCACAAATTGTTAGTCTCCATAGTAAGGTATGGAACAAAGTCTGGAAGGAAAATATTATGAAGAATTGCGAATAATGCTTCTACTTACTTATTTTTGGGAGAATTAAGCTAAAGCTTAATGAATTGTATTGAATGCCACTGAATCACATTGGACATTGATGGAAGAAAAGGAAGTTCTACGGTGGGACAGGCGGTGCAGCAAGCTGCCCATCATTGTACAGAGGTTCACCTTCAGTACTCTGCAGCATCTTCTAGTTTGTGTGTACCTTGGTTAACTTGATAGATAGATCACACTATTTAGCATAGTATCTCACTCCAATCAATGCCTGTCAATAATAGACTGGATAAAGAAAATGTGGTACATATATATACCATGGAATACTATGCAGCCATAAAAAGGAATGAGATCATGTCCTTTGCAGGGACACGGATGAAGCTGGAAGCCATTATCCTCAGCAAACAAACACAGGAACAGAAAACCAAACACCGCATGTTCTCACTCATAAGTGGGAGTTGAACAATGAGAACACATGGACACAGAGAGGGGAACGTCACACCAGGGCCTATTGGGCAGTTGGGGGTGAGGAGAGGGAACTTAGAGGATGGGTCAACAGGTTCAGCAAACCACCATGGCACAGGTATACCTATGTAACAAACCTACACGTTCTGCACATATATCCCGGTTTTTTTTAGAAGAAAAAAAAACTGCTGTATTAAGGCATAGATAAGAGGGAAACTGCATGTCATCATTTACTAAGCACAAGGTATGATGTGCTTCTTACATTTTTATGAAGATATTTATGTGAAAACTTTTTCAATCATTAAAAGCGGGTATAAAACTGAAATTAGAACTAAGTTCTGAATTGACATGTATCAAGATTTTCAAAAATAATTAAGTACATATAATCAAGCTGCCCTCACTAAAATTATTACAAATATTCTATTATTATATACAAGAAGATAACAATATGCAATATATACAATTCTAACATGTTAATGAGAGCTAAAACTTTCTTTGATAATCCACAAAAGTATTCAAATATTTAATTTTTTATCAACCTTAACATTTTATATTTCAGTTTCTCTATGTTTTGGACACAATATTTTAGCAGAGTAATACAATTTACTTATAATTTATAAATAAATAAACACAGTGAGAAGTATATACTCTCTATTTATATCTACATACAGTTGAACCTTAAACAATTTATATTTGAACTGCATGGGCCCACTTGCGGATTGTTTTCAATAAAAGTTATACCAAATGCGCCTGCCTCTCCCGTCTCTCCTTCTAGTTCCTACAGCTCTGCCACTTTGCCTAAAAATCAGCAAGACCACCTGCCTGCTTCTCCTCCTCCTCAGCCTACTCAATGTAAAGACAATCAAGAGGAATACTTTTATGATAATCCACTTTCACTTAATGCATAGTAGACATTTTCTCTTTCTTATGATTTTCCCTGCCTCCCTCCCTCCCTCCCTTCCTTCCTTCCTTCCAAGACAGGGTCACCTAGGCTGGAGTGCATTGTTGCAAACATAGCTTGCTGCAGCCTCGACCTCCCGAGCTCAGGTGATCCTCCTTCCCAGCCTCCTGTGTAGCTGGGACCACAGGTGCGTGCCAACGTAGAGACAGAGTCTCACTTTGTTGCCCAGGCTGTTTTCAAATTCCTGGGCCCAAACAATCCTCTGGCCTTGGCCTCCCAAAGTGCTAGGATTACAGGCATGAGACACCATGCCCAGCCATAATTTTCTTAATAACATTTTCTTTTCTTTAACTAATTTACTGTAAGAATACAACATACAATACATGTAACATATAAAATACATGTTAATCAACTGAATATATTATCAGTAAGCCTTTTGGTCAACAGCAGACAACCAGTAGTTAAGTTTGGGGGAGTCAAAAGTTTTATGTGGATTTTTGACTGTGCTGAGATGGGCACTCCTAAACCCACATTGTTTAGGAGTCAACTGTCTTTTTTAAATTTATAGAGCAGATAATGCAAAGTATGATGACCCCTATCATTAAAGAAGAAACTGAGGCACAAAGATGCCCACTCTAATAATTACATACCATTTTCTTTTTACTCCATTACCAATTACCATAATCTTACCACTATTTGTTTGCTATGCACGAGCTTTTCATGAACATAAACACCAAGGCTGAAAGCATTTGGGGTGAAATATATGTCCCCTCCTCTGTTTGATATTACTGAAAAAGAATCTATTTGGGAGAAGATGGAAATTTTCAAAGTAAAATGGGTGAACTGTTAGCAATGATAAAAATTATACCTATACCTTGGGAGACGGAAAGATTTTCATGACAACCTTATTTTAAATAATTCTTAAGTTTACATTTTCTAATCTTCCATAAGCATATTTATCTATTCAGGAATATTTGTTAGTTTTTTATATAAAATACTCATAAATGATAGAAAAATTAATTATCTTCGCTTAAGATTTGCTACCAAATTGAAAAAGGCACATATCTGAAACGGGATGAGAAAGCAACACAACAAACATGTTTCCTAATGATGAAATACAACGTTGCTATTAAACTTAGAGAATAAAAACAATCGCAGCCATAAAAAATGATGAGTTCATGGCCTTTGTAGGGACATGGATGAAATTGGAAATCATCATTCTCAGTAAACTATCGCAAGAACAAAAAACCAAACACTGCATATCCTCACTCATAGGTGGGAATTGAACAATGAGATCACATGGACACAGGAAGGGGAATATCACACTCTGGGGACTGTGGTGGGGTCGGGGGAGGGGGGAGGGATAGCATTGGGAGATATACCTAATGCTAGATGACGAGTTAGTGAGTGCAGCGCACCAGCATGGCACATGTATACATATGTAACTAACCTGCACAATGTGCACATGTACCCTAAAACTTAAAGTATAATAAAAAAAAAATCGATCATATTGAAGTTCAGTTTTGTACTTTAACACCATCTGGTAAAATTACAGACAGAATCTAAAAAATATATGAGTAAACCTTTTCTTTTGAGATGGAGTCTTGCTCTGTCGCCCAGGCTGGAGTGCAGTGGCGCGATCTTGGCTCACTGCAAGCTCCGCCTCCCGGGTTCAGGCCATTCTCCTGCCTCAGCCTCCCGAGTAGCTGGGACTACAGGTGCCTGCAACCACGCCCGGCTTATTTTTTTGTATTTTTAGTAGAGACGGGGTTTCACTGTGTTAGCCAGGACGGTCTCGATCTCCTGACCTCGTGATCCGCCCGCCTCGGCCTCCCAAAGTGCTGGGATTACAGGTGTGAGCCACCGCGCCGGGCTGAGTAAACTTTTTTTTTTTTTTAAATTAATAACTTGTTATGTTTTCCACTGGTTTAATCATTCTCTTTCTTTTAATAAAATTGAAGTAAAAATGACTTAGTGTCGTTTTGTTTCTGCTGTGTTTCTACAGGTCATATTCAGAGTTGACTGAGCACCATAAGTGTTCAGCCGACTTTGATTTTATTTTTATCGCATGCCTCATAAAACTGATTTAGAAACCTAAAAATGTGTCACTAAAATATTAAATTGTGAACAGTCAGAGCTTATTGAGTTTCCAAAATCTAACAAGAATGGCTGGCTATGAAGGCAAACAAACATTCTTCAAATGTAGCCAGCCACATTTTAAAAACTATTGGAGGGATCTTGAAGATTCAGAAGTGTATGATTGATACCATGCCAAATTTTCAGAACCAGTAGTCTGTTTTTGGAAGACTTCTCCTGCATGGATGCCTAGTAATATTCCCATCATAAAGTGGTTTAGCTCCATTTTAAAATTATAGGGGAGGCCTAGTACATTTGGAGAAAATTTCCATCCATTGGCATTTTTACATTTAATTTCCACACAGGCATCTTTCTTACATTATCTCTGCTTCACAGAATCTTCATCACATTTCAACTGTCATCAGAATCCAGTTTTTCTCTTGGCTATATACTTCATCATTTTCCTCTTGCTGTTAATGGGTTGATATGATTGATTGATGGAGCCCCTATTCTGAGAACATGTTACTCAGACTCAGGGGTATTAGGATGCTTTGAGCTGTATGTCACAGTAGCACCCGAAACCTATGCTGAAGTGCCCACGTTGGAGGAAAACTAAATCCTAACGGCTTGCAAGAATAAATGCTCATTTTAAATGACCAGTGATTCCAAGGAAAAAAGTTAGATACCCAAAAAATTGAATTCCTCCCCAGCAATGCCCCTTCACTTAAAGGTCTGGGTTCAAGCAAACGCATCCCACTAGAACCCAGTCCTGAACTTTGAAGTAAATGAACAAATGCTCCTGGATGTATGAAGGCCCCAGCAGTAAAGCTGAGCACTTCATAGACTCTCTCTTAGAGCCTGATTGATGCTTACTTAACTTACCAAGAAGGGATTTTATGCTAAGATAGATCATATTTAAGATACTGGTTCTGACGTGGACACAAGGAGGGGAACATCACACACCGGGGCCTGTCGGGAGGTGGAGAGCTAGGCGAGGAATAGCATTAAAAGAAACAACTAATGTAGATGATGGGTTGATGGGTGCAGCAAACCACCATAGCACGTGTATACTTATGTAACAAACCTGCACATTCTGCACATGCACCCCAGAACTTAAAATATAATAATTTAAAACAAAACAAAACAAAAAGATACTGGTTCTGTAACACATCTGCTGTGAGACCATGGGAAAATTTCCTGACTTCTGTCACACATCTGCTGTGAGACCATGGGAAAATTTCCTGACTTCTGTCAATTTTGTTTTCCTTTTCTGTGATGGGATAAACACACCTATTCCTAGAATTGTTACAGGCTGGATCTGATATAATAACCTTCTGATAGTAATTTACTGATCACTTGAAACAAAGGTTCAGTGTATATTAAATATGTGTTTTTACATATTTTTCATTGGCCAAGCATATTTACTGGTAAGCATGTTTGTTTTCTTCTGTCTAGTTCAGATACCATGAAAGTATGATAAGATTCCTTCAGGAAGGCTCAGGTGACGATTGGGATAACCACATGTTCCAGGTGTCCTTTGTGTAACAAATTACCCTCAAAGTTGGCATATTAAAACAGCAAACATTGATCTCACAGTTCTTGTGGGTCAGGACTTTGCGAGTGGCTTAGCTGGGTGCTTCTGGCCCAGCATTGCTCATGAGTTTGTAGTCAAGGTATAGGCTAGAGCCACAGTCATCTGAAGGTCTGTCAGGCCTGGGAGATCTGCTGCCATCATGGCTCATGCACAAGACTGTTGGCGGGAGGCCTCACTTTCCTGCCATGCAGGTTTCTCCAGAGGGAGACAGTGACATGGCTCCTGGCTTATCCAGAGTTAATGATCCAATAGAAAAAGAGAGAGAGAAAAAGCAACCAGAATAAATACTGCAGCACTTTTTTAACCCCAACCTTAGAAATGGCATAGCATCATGATTGCCATAGCCTGGTGTGATATGGGAGGAGAGTATAGGAAAGGGTGAATACCAGGAGGTGGGGATACTTGTAAGCAACTAGCATTTATATAACATCTCTCAAGTTATAAAGTGCTTTTCACAAATAAAACAACTCTAATGAAGCAAGAAACCAGACAGTCGAAATTACCCGCCTACGGCCACAGTTATCAACAGTATATACTCAAAATGACTCAAAAGTGTTATTTTCCATTACATTCTTTATATCTTCTTGGTTCTCTTAGTTGATCAGGATATACTGTCTTCTATTTTGACACTAAGTAGCTTCATCTTGATTAAGTTCTAATAGTTAAGGTATTAATTTTCATTTAAAATAAAATACAGTGCTTAATTATGATGGCAGAAAGTTAATTTAAATAAATTATAACAATAAGAATAAAATATTTTATTTTAGAATGGCATATTTAAAAAATAAACCCTCCACTAACATAATATTGGGCTTTATTCCAAATCCCACTTTCTAGAAATTTAATTTACACTTTTCTGAAAATAAATATAAAAACCAGTGGAAATGAGGTGTTACCTGATTTTCTATCTGTAAAGATGCAATTATAACTTTGAATCAACTATACTACCGTACTATACAGACTTGAACTAGCTAGTGGTGGTGGGTAATGAACTATGCTCCTGTGTTATTCCAAGTAAACAGCCAACTTTAAGCAATTTTTTTAAAAAACAGCTGATTTCAGGATAAGTATTAAACAACAGTACCTTACTTCATCACTTCCATATGACTGACTTGTAGTCAGCGTTACTGAAGAACTAAAGCTTAATTGTCAGTTAATTGACACATTATTGTACATGTTTCTATATGTGATTTAAAAAATCCTAACTCATTTTAGATGCAAAGAAACCAGCACATAGTCTCATGCCTTGCAGGGAGTGTTTGAAAACAAAAATGAAGATAAACAATGTCTTATCAGAAAACTCAATCTTCTAAATGCGTTAGCTTTAAAAATGTTAAAAACAGATTTAGAGAGGAGAATATTAATGACTTGTCAGCAGAGTTAAAGTGATACTTATAGCTCTTTGCTATATGTATTGAATTTGTGTCTAGTCTAATTTTTTTCTTAGAGTAATAACCAGAAACTGAGCTCTCATGAACACTGAACATGGAAGATCACAGATCAGGCAAGATTGTGGTGTGTGTATGTGTGCACACACACCCATGTACATTTCTACCTTATATACAGGATCATTGGTGTGGGCTTTCTCTACGTCTAATCCAAATAAGCTTTTTGCAGGGTTAAACTGATCTGAATACTTCTTTGTGAAAGTAACTTTAAAGAGGTAATAGTGTATGGCGATTATTTGGGCAATTTAGCCCATAATGGCTACAAGTGGGTTATGTTCCTTAATTGCTTTGAATATTACATCTTGAAGACAGCAGTGTTTTCACTTTTACAAGTTATCTTAGAAAGTCTGAGATGCAGTATACTTAGCTCTTCCCAACTGTAACCTCTCTCATTGTGCCTTTGAGAAATGAAGCTCAGATTGAGTGTCCTTACCCAACAAATCAAGAAGTAGAACTTGTTCCCTTGTTCTTATTTTGGGAATTTTAATCCTATATCATACCACTTTCATCTCCAGATACAACAGCCTTGGCAGTATCTAGAGGAGTGTTTCCATACCTCAATCATCTGTGGATCCCATTCATGGTTGAACAGTACCTGTATTTTACCTAGTATTCCTGTGTGAGTTTTGCCACACCTGAGTAACCTTTGGGTCAGTATTTTAAAAATAAATTAGTTTTAGTGAAATAAATTTATTTTAAATCAAATATCTAATTCTTATAAAATTACTGTTTTTCATAAATGGAAGATGCCCATAAAAATCTCCTGTAAACAAAATCTGGGTTTTTGTCTGCACTCCTATGCTTATTGCAGCACTACTTACAATAGCTAAGATTTGGAAGCAACCTAATTGTCCATCAACAGATGAATGGATGAAGAAAATGTGGTACACATACACAGTGGAGTACTATCTAGCCATTGAAAAGAATGAGATCCAGTCATTTGTAACATCAATAATGAAACAGAGATCATTATGTTAAGTGAAATAAACAAGGCAGAGAAAGACAAATATTGCATATTCTCATTTATTTGTGGGATCTACAAATCAAATCAATTGAACTCATGGATATAGAGAGTAGAATGTCGGTTACCAGAGGCTGGAAGGGAGAAGTTGTGGGGGAGGTGAGGATGATTAATGGGTGCAAAAAATAATTAGAAAGAATGAATAAGACCTACTATTTGATAGCACAATAGAGTGATTATAGTCAACAATAACTTAATCATATATTTTTAAATAATTTAAAGAATGTAGCTGGATTGTTTGTAACTCAAAGGATAAATGCTTGAGGGGATGGACACCCCATTCTCCATGATGTGCTTATTTCACATTGCATGCCTGTATCAAAATATCTTATGTATCTTATAAATGTATACACTTACTATGTACTCACCAATTTTTTTATTAAAAGAAAAGAAACACCATCAAAAAATAATCTGGGCATTTTCTAAAAATTTCAATTTACCACCTTGCCTTGCTGAAGGTTGAGTTTCATATGTTTTCTCTTATGAAAAGTAGAGAGTCACATGTTTTAGGGTGTTGATACGGACATATGTGTAGTAACTTGAGGATGTCCATTGAGGCCATCAAAAGCCTGAAAGAAAACATGAAAGGGACTGCTTCCATATTACATGATCCAACTACTTTTCAATGCCAAGTTTCAGTGTCATGTAAAATCAGCTTACTTCTACCAATATATGTATCATATACCTGGAGGACTTGTGATCTAGTCTCTAGCAGAAAGAGAATGGGATTTTAGCCCAAGAACAGGGTCCTAGCTTGAGCACGACCACTAAGCTGTTCAGTAAATCTGGTCTGACAACAATTATATACTGAGAAAACCATATGGAGCATAAAGAAACGCAATAAACTTGGTCTCCTTAGGTCTCAGGTTTCTCTGAAAAATGATGGGACTAGGGTGGAGCGTCACTGTGTCCCTTTCTAGAGTATGACTGCCTTCACCAGCTGTTTTTATTATCAACATTTTTGAAACTTTTACATTTTACTTCCCACAGTCAGAGAACTTCTAAAGCCCCAAAGGACTGCCACCTCACGTTTAACAAAGATAAATTAGAAAATATGAAATGAATGCTATCATCTTCCTAACATGATAACCTCAATATAAACTTAAGAGTGACATTTCCAAAGTCAAATCATAATCTGGATAAGTTGTCCTCAAGTCTTGTCAAAAGACGACTCTTCCCTTGGAAATCCTAGTGAAGGTACCCAATTGCCTCTCCATTCTTGTTAAAGAATGATTATTTTTAGATGAACAGGAGATCCTACTTTCCTCCCATTGCAGCAGAGATATTTCACACTTTTTCAACTAGTCCAAATTCAAAATGGTTATTCCTTAAAGATTCTGTCACCAGAAATATACTCATTCAAGGAACTTTGTACTCTGTCATATGTGAATAAATCAGCTTCATGTTCCAGGTCTATTTTATGCTATGTAACTTTTTTGTAGACAACATTAATGAGATTTTAGTCTATCCTGTTATTCCTATATTGGAGTGTTTTGTGTTTTGACTTACTTATCATAGCTTGTATTTACAAAGATGGGACTCAGTAAAGTTGGAAAATATATGTTATGAAGCAAATTTATATAACTGGACATAACCCATGAAATACTGAGTATGTCTTTAAATATATCAGATAAAATTACATAATTAATACTGCAATCACATTTTATGAAATAAAGGTTTTTTAAAGGAAAGAGCAAAAATATCTCTAAGAGTTATAACTGAGATTGTCTTTTTCATCCATCAATCTTCTAAAGTATATGTTCCAGAAAAAAAAAAAAAACATGGTGCACTAAATCTTAGCAAAGATAATGGATTTCTACAGAAGTACCTTAAGATCAGAGATATAGATTATGAAAGCAGTCCATTAAAAAAACAGAAATGCCAAGTTAGACATTTTGGCTTTTACAAATAAATGTGAATTACATAAGTTAAAATCCAGATTCTGAGTCCCTCAGACCACTTAGGGATTACTGACAGTCTTCTTTTGAGTTCTTATTTTCAATATTACACATCCAAAGGCTTAACTTGTAAAAGGCATCTGGCCTGATTCACTTGAAGAATTCTATTTTAATTCAAAGGGTATATAATTAGAATACTAGTATTCTAGCACTTCAAGATATTTTTAAAGTTGTTTGAAAACTGCTATATTATCACAGAAGGTTCCTCACTGGCACAGAAAATGGAAAAGTTGCTCAATGTGTTCAGGATGCTCTTGAAGCTACCTCTTTATTGCTTTCCTCTCTTCATTTCCAGGCCATCAGTACCTCTTGAATCTACCATCACTGCCAGTTCCCTGCAGCCATCTGCTGCCAATAGGGTTTCCTAAAGCATTGCTGCAATGGTGGAGCCTCTCCACTCAAAGGCCTGTAGGGCATCCTGTTCCACTGGTATGCATGCCAATGCCATGACCCCTCCCTGATCCATATTTCCAATCATTTCTTTCACTCTGCCATATCAGCAATGCTTTCTAACTCCCACTGCAGCCTCCACTGCTACCACCCTAGTCACAGCCACCACTCTTCCCACTGTTGGTATTCTTTTGTTTTTTGAGATGGAGTCTCACTCTGTCACCCAGGCTGGAGTGCAGCGGCACGATGTTGGCTCACTGCAACCTCCTCCTCCTGAGTTCAAGTGATTCTTGTGTCTCAGCTTCCCAAGAAGCTGGGACTACAGCCATGAGTCACCACACCTGGCTAATTATTTTGTATTTTTAGTAGAGACGGGGTTTCGCCATGTTGACCAGCCTGGTCTTGAACTCCTGACCTCAGGTGATCTGCCTGCCTCGGCGTCCCAAAGTGCTGGGACTACAGGCGTGAGCCACTGCGCCTGGCCCCACTGTTTCTATTCTTGACCCTCCATAGTATGGGCCAGAGAACTTACTCTGTGAAGGGTCAGATGGTAAGTATTGCAGGCTTTGTGGGCCAGACAGTTTCTGTTACAACTACTCAACACTACCATTATAATGCAAAAGAAGCCATAGGCAATATATACATGAATGAGCATGGCCATGTTTCATGCAAACTTTATCATTAGACATTACATTTCAGTTTTATATAATTTCCAAGTGTCATAAAATCTTCTTTTGATTTTTTTTTTTTTTTTTTGGTTTCCATCATTTAACAATGCAGAGGCAATTCTTAGTTAATGGACCATGCAAAAAAACAGCCAATAGACTGGATATAGCCCACAGCCAGTAGTTTGCTGACCTCTGCTCTACAACTTAATTGTAACTGCTGTGTTTAGAATGCTGCAGTGGTTCCCCATTCCACTCACGACATGTGCTTAGGTCCTCACCATGGCCTAAAAGGCCTCATATAATCTGTTTCCCTTTGCCTTTCTTCTGTCTTCTCCATTTACTCCCTGGTTTTCCTCTGTTTCAGCAAACTGACATGCTTTCTGCTTCTTGAACACATGGAACACAGCCTGCCTTGTGACTTCTGCACTGGCTGGCCTGTCTGCCTGAAATTTGTGTTCCCAGATATTTCTATGTTTCTCTTGCTTGCTTCAAGATTTTGACCAAATGCCATTCTCTGATAGTCTATCTTGACTACTCTATTTAAATTTCAACCACACTGTTATGGACGGAATTGTGCCTCCCCATCCCAAACTTGTTTGTTGAAGTCCTAACTCCCAGTACCTCGGAACGTGACTGTACTTAGAGATAAGATCTTTAAAGGAGTGATTCAGTTAAAATGAGGCCTCTAGGATGGGCCCTAATCCAATCTGACCAATTTCCTTATAAGAAGAGAAAATTTAGGCACACAGGGAGATACCAGGAGCACACAAGCACACAGCATAGATGGCATGAAGACATAGTGACAAGGTGGCCATCTGCAAGCCAAGGAGAAAGGACTCAGAAAAAAATCCAACCTGCTCATACCCTGACTTTGGACTTCTAGCCTCAATTGCTGTGAGAAAACAAATTTCTGTTGTTTAGGCTACGTAGTCTGTGATATTTTATAGTGATGGCCCCGTTAAACAAATGCACACTCTAACCTCCACAGTCTTCCCAAACCGACTTATCCTATTGTATATTTACCCAGAGTATTTATCATCTACTGACATGCATTTTAATTTACTGGCTTAGTATGTGTATTATCTGACTCCCCACTACATGAGGCTAAGATCTTTTGTTTATGGATGTATCCAAAGTTTGCAGAAGAGGACCTAGCAAAGGATAGGTACTTAATGAATACCTGTTGGATAATTGAATCCTAGCAATGCATTCATCTCTTATATCCCCTGCCTTTGTTTCTTGGCTCTTCCTGAGGTCCAATCCCCAACTCCACACCCATGGCCAGTGAAACCCACCTCAAATATTAACAATGCTAAGAATGTATCTCTTGCCACCAACACTCTGTGCTCTTTCTCTTTGGAGTCTAGTAATACACTATCTGTTTTTCTCTTGTGGTGCTTAATACATTCAAGCCTGTATTGAATTTTCTATATATACGCATATCTCAGAGATATTGCAGGTTCCATTATAGAACACAGCAATAAAGTGAATATCACATTAAAGTGAGTCATACAAATTTCTTGGCTTCCCAGTGCACGTAAAAGTTTTGTTTACACTGTACTGTAGTCTATGAAGTGTGTTATTGCATTATGTCTAAAAAATGGACATACCTTAAATTAAAATACTCTATTGCTAAAAAATGCTAACTATCATCTGAGCCTTCAGTGAGAAGTAATTTTTTGCTCATGGAGGGTCTTGCCTCTATGCTGACAAATGCTGACTGATCAGGACGGTGGCTGCTGAAGTTTGAGGTGTCTAGTGTAATTCTTAAATAAGACAACAATGAAGTTTGTCATATTGATTGACTCTTTCATCAAGGACTTAACTGAAGCATCTGATGCTGTTTGATAACATTTTACCCACAAGATAACTTTTTTCAAAATTAAAGTCAATCCTCTCAAACACTACTGCTGTTTATTGACTAAGTTTATGTAACAGTCTAAATTCTTTGTTGTCATTCCAGCATTGTTCACAGCATCTTCATGAGGAGTAGACTCCTTTCAAGAAACCACTTTCTTTACTCACCCATAAGAAGCAACTCTTCATCCATTTAAGTTTGTTCTTTAGATGGCAGCAATTCAGTCACATCTCCATGATCCATTTCTAATCCTCGTTTTCTTGCTATTTCCATCACATCTCCAGCAACTTCCTCCACTGAAGGCTTGAACCTCTCAAAGTCACCCATGAATGTTAGAATGAACTTCTCCCAAATGTTGATGTTTTGACTTCCTGTCATGAATCATGAATGTTCTTAATGGCATCTAGAATGGTGAAACCTTTCCAGAAGGTTTTCAATTTACTTTTCCCAGATCATCAGAGGAATCACTATCTATGACAGTTATAGCCTTATGAAAAGTGCTTCTTCAGTAATAAGACTTGGAAGTCAAAATTACTGTTTGATCCATGGGCTGCAGAATGGATGTTGTGTTAGCAGGCATGAAAATAACATTAATCTCTTTGTCTATCTCCATCAGAGCTCTTGAATGACTAGGCGCATTGTCAATGAGCAGTAACATTTTGAAAGTAATCATTTTTTCTAAGCAGTAGGTGTCAACACTGGGCTTAAAATATACAGTAAACCATGATATAAACAGACATGATGTCATCCAGGTTTGGTTGTTCCATTATTGAGCAGAGACAGAGTAGATTTAGCATAATTATTAAGGGCCCTGGGATTTTTACAATGATAAAGAAGCATTTGCTGCAACTTAAAGTCATAAGCTGCATTAGTCCCTAAAAAGAGAGTCAGTCTCCCCTTTGAAGCTTTGGAGCCAGGCATTGAATTCTTCTCTCTACTTATAAATGTCCTAGATGGCATCTTCTTCCAATATAAATCTTTTTCTTTATTTTTATTTTTTGATACAGGGTCTTACTTTGTCACCCAGGTGGGGTGCAGTGGCATGATCATAGCTCCCTGCAGCCTTGATCTCCCTAGCTCATGCAACCCTCCCACCTCAGCCTCCTAAGGAGCTGGGACTACGTACAGTCTCGAGTAGCTGGGACAACGTGCGTGCACCACCATGCCAGGCTAATTTTAATTTTTTTTTTTTTTTTAAAGACAAGGCCTCACTATGTTGATCAGGCTGGTCTCAAATTCCTGGGCTCAAGTATTCCTCCTGCCTTGGCCTCCCAAAGTGTTGGGATTACAGGCATGAGCCACCGTGCCCAGCCAGGGGCTTCTTCATCTACACTGAAAATTTGGTTTTCAGAGGAACAACATTTATCAATGATCTTAGCTGGATCTTCTGAATAAGCTGCTGCGGCTTCTACATCGGCACTTGCTCTTTAACCTTGCACTTTTGTGGTATGGATATGGCTTCTTCATGAACCAACCTCTGCTAGCTTCAAACTTTCTTCTGCAGCTTCCCTATTTCTCTCAGCATTCATAGAATTGAAGAGAGTTAGAGCCTGTATTAGACCATTCTTGCATTGCTGTAAAGAAATACCTGAGACTGGATAAATTACAAAGAAAAAAGGTTTCATTGGCTCACCGTTCTGCAGGCTGTACAGGAAGCACAGCAGCATCTGCTTCTGGGGAGGCCTCAGAAAGCTTCCACTCATGGCAGAAGGCAAAGGGAGCAGACACATGACAGAGCAAAAGCAGAAGTAAGAGAGAGTGAGGGAGGGGAATGCCACACTTTTTTTTTTATTTTTATTTATTTATTTTTTTTGAGACAGAGCCTCACTCTTTCACCCAGGCTGAAGTGTAGTGGTACGGCCTTGGCTCATCACAACCTCTGCCTCTTGGGTTCAAGTGATTCACCTACCTCAGCTTACTGAGTGTCTGGGATTATAGGCATGCACTATCATGCCCAGCTAATTTTTTTTGTAATTTTAGTAGAGACAGGGTTTCACCATGTTAGCCAGGCTGGTCTCGAACTCCTGACCTCAAGTGATTATGTCCATGTCAGCCTTCCAAAGCGCTGAGATTACCTGCGTGAGCCACCACGCCCAGCCAATGCCATACACTTTCAAATGACCAGCTATTGCAAAAACCCACACACTATTGTGAGAACAGTACCAAGGGGATGGTGCTAACCCATTCCTGAGAAATCCACCCCATAATCCAATTTTCTCCCACCTCCAACACTGGGGATTGTAACTCGACATAAGATTTGGGCAGGGACACATATCCAAACTGTATCAGAGACTTCCTCTGGATTAGGCTTTGGCTTAAGGGGGAGTTGTGGCAGGTTTGATCTTTTACCCGGACCACTAAAACATTCTTTATATCAGCAATAAAGCTGTTTCACTTTCTTACTATTCATGTCTTCACTAGAATAGCAATATTAATTTCCTACTAGAACTTTTCCTTTGCTGTGACAACTTAACTAACAGTTTGACATGAGATTTCAGCTATTTTGGCTTTGGACATGCCCTCCTCATTAAGCTTGATTATTTCTAGCTTTTGATTTAAAAGTGAGAGATGTGTGACTCTTCCTTTCCCTTGAACACTTAGAGGCCATTAAAAAGTTATTAATTGAACTAATTGTAATACTGTTGTATCTCAGGAAATAGGGAGGCCCAAGGAGAAGAAAAGACATGGGGAATAGCTGGTCAGTGTAGCAGTCAGAACACACACAACATTTATTGATTACGTTCACTGTCTCATATAGGTATGGTTGGTGGCACTCCAAAACACTTACGATAGTAACCTCAAAGATCATCATAAAAGATATAATGATAATGAAAAACTATGAAATATTGCAACGATCATAATGTGACTCAGAAACATGAAGTGAACATGTGTTTTTGGAAGAATGGCGCTGATAGTATTGCAAAAGGCAGGGTTGCCATGAAACTTCAATTTGTAAAAAATGCAGTATCTGAGAAGTGCAATAAAGCAAAGAACAATACGATGAGGCATGCCTGTATGTTTTATATTCTCCACTAAATGTCAAGCTCCTTTATGGTGCAGCTATTGCCTCATGCATCTTAAAATCCCTTACCATACCTTCTGAATGTGCCACACATATTAAAGACACAACAGACCTTAGCTGAAATTAGGAAAATTATTACAATAAAAACACTTGTTACTGAACAATTACACATTGTGTCAGGCTCTATTTTAAGTCTTCATGTCACTTGCCTTTACTAACAAAAATCTCATGAAGGTCGGACTATCATTATCTCAAATTTATTGATAAGGTCACTGAACCTAACATAAGTAACTTGCCCGAGATCATACGACTAATGATTGGTGAAGCCAGATTTTTTTTTTTTTTTTTTTTTTTTTTTTTTTTTTTTTTTGAGACAGAGTCTCACTCTGTCACCCAGGGCTGGAGTGCAGTGGCATGGTCTCAGCTCACTGCAAGCTCCACCTCCCGGGTTCACGCCATTCTCCTGCCTCAGCCTCCCAAATAGCTGGGACTACAGGCGCCCGCCACCACGCCTGGCTAATTTTTTGTATCTTTTAGTAGAGATGAGGTGGTGAAGCCAGATTTTAAGCACAGACCTATTGTTCTACAGATATCAGATATCAGGATCTATAGTATACTGTCTTGCCAGTTAAAAAACAATGCTTACTTTAAAGAAGATCATGTCGTTTGTGGGAACACAGATGAAGCTGGAGGTCATTATCCTTAGCAAACTAACGCAGGAACAGAAAACCAAATACCTGTGGTGCATACACATTGTCCCAGTTACTCGAGACTGTACGTGTTCTCACTTCTAAGTGGGAGCTAAATGATAAGAATTCATGAACACGAAGAGGGGAACAACAGATACTGGGGCCTGCTTGAGGGAGGAGGGTGGGAGGAGGGAGAGGAGCAGAAAAAATAACTATTGGGTACTAGGTTTACTATCTGGCTGCTGAAATTCCATAAAACAAACCCTAGTGACACTAGTTTACTTATATAACACATGTACCTCCAAACCTAAAATAAAAGTTAAAAAAAATAAATCTGTAAAGCACATAAAAAATGCTTACTTTAAAATAAAAATACTGCTATCATGTTAAATGAAATAAAAGGAAGCAGCATGTACCTGAATTCTTATGCGTTTTAGAAGCTGGAATGGACTGATTTCACATTTCCCATGACTACTTTTCTTATTCTAAATTCTGAGAGGGTAGTCTTTGTGCATTGGTCAAATTGATATACCTACTGAAATTTTAAAATTCATATTTCATAATAAAATTCTTCTCTACATCTTATTTCACTGGTAATACTTGAAGATTTAAAACATAAAATAATAAAATGTATTAAATATGGTTGTCTTTCCTAAAACTAGGACTTTAACATCTACGCAAATCTGTTATGCTTTTATAATATTTCATAAATAATTTAAAGAATGAGTAGGTTGTTAATATTGGCTTGTGAAGTAACTAATTTCTACATGTTATTGTAGTTTAAAAATTTTTTTACTATACTTTATATCCTAGGAAAAAGCCAAGATTAATAGTTAATCTTATTTTTGGTGAAAAAAACAAACTTTTTAAAATTATTATTATACTTTAAGTTCTAGGGTACATGTGCACAACGTGCAGGTTTGTTACATATGTATACATGTGCCATGTTGGTGTGCTGCACCCATTAACTCGTCATTTACATTAGGTATATCTGCTAATGCTATCCCTCCCCTCTCCCCCGACCCCATGACAGGCCCCAGTGTGTGATGTTCCCCACCCTGTGTCCACTATGTTCTCACTCATAGGTGGGAATTGAACAATAAAAACAAACTTAATTACAAATTTTTTGAAAATTAAGGAGTTTAGACTCAAAAAGTGTTAGCAAGAATACATATTGCACATATTTGTATAATATACAAGTCATCTGACATTTTTGGGTAGGAAATATCTTTTGGTAGGAGAGTAATAAAGCATAATTAAGTAAAACCCTTTAAGTATATTAATGTATAATTTTATCATTTATGAAGGAAGTCTTTGAGTCATATGTTCTACCTAATTTTGAACATTTTAAAATCAATAGAAAGTGAACACATTTTAACATTTTCTAAGGAATTTAAAATAATTGCATAATGTTTTACATAATACACTACACCGATTTATAAGTATCTGAAACAGGACTTAGTGCTGTTTGAATGAGTACTGATTCCAGCCACTGTCCTTACAAATGCTGGCTTGTAAAAGTACTCAGCAGAACCTTGAATTGGGATCACTTTATTTTTCCAATGAGGAAACTGATATCATGGGGGGAATATAAACTTGTCCAAGGTCACCTGCTAAGACGTGATGGTGCAAAGATAAAAGTTCAAGTCATTTTCTTTGCCAGGTCTAAGTGTTTCTACCCCACCAAGCCACCACCTGAGGCACTTGTCACAATGTAAGGTTGTGAGAGCAATGTGCTTGTGGAATGGGAGAGTAATAATCAGTACGTGGACCAATTAGCTGTTATGACCTTAGTAAAATCACTTGAATAACTCAGGTCCAGTTGTCTCTTCCGAAAATAAAGAAAGGAGACCAAATGATTTTTAAGATCCATTGAGATGTAACGTGTCTATGATCCAAGAATATATTCTGACACAAAAAATTCGTTTATATGAGTGACATGATAAACACAATGTTGTCTATATTGTTGCCATTGTGTTAAGGACTTGTACCACTTTGAGTGCAAACAAGTTTCTCAACCTTCTAAGTTCAGGGATTGTGCTTTTACTTGAAGATAGGCTAGGAGGGCATCATTGGAAGGAACATTTGCATGTATTTGGGAACATACCCAGCACTTGGCTGTATAGTTTCCCTTGGGGGAATTCAGTAGACACAGCATAAAACTGATCTTTAAAGTTCTAAAAGCTTTTTATAGAACTGGCTTCCTAGTTCTTTAAAGCCTTTTGACTTTTGTTTGGCTCAGGGAATTACAAGATGATTAGGAAATTCTTTTTGTATCTCCCATCATAAAACAGGCTCTATGTATCTTAACATGTTATAGAACAGGAATGTGACTGATTTGGTAGGCATTAAGTCTCTTATCCTAATCTGGTGGTCTTGAAAAATAAAAATCTTCCCATTGTAGAGGTAATAATATTGAGCTCGGAAGATTTACTACTTTCTCCAGGAGAAGAAAACTGCAGCTAGAGAACAGATCAACTTAAAGCCTGGTAATACTTTACTCAAAGCATGGTAATATGTTTTTTTGTGTGTGTAAAATCTCTAAAATGATAGTACAGCCAAGGCGGTATCTGTTTCCAGTAATTTTACCGTATTTGAAGATGGGAAGAACCTATAAATTTCTAATATTAATTTATTAGTTTATCTTATAGAGATATAACTATGTATTTTTTATTTTAAAAACATTAAAATTCAACTATTATACATATACTATGTTCCCCGTAGAAAAATGAGAAAATACAAATACATTGACATTTATACATAAATCAACCATAAGATGTATGACTTTTTAAATAAATGAGCAAATATACAGGACCTACCCCATTTAAAAATGTGTACAGTTAGAGAGAATTCACACTTCCAAAGCTCTCAATCATCTATAACCATTTTTTATGATTGGAAGAAGTACCAGGTAGAGATAGAACAGAACCATAACACAGATTAGAATGAGCAGCTGAAGTAGCCAAGATCAGAAGTGATTAGGTCAAATGGTATTTCTAGTATCCCATTACTGGGTATATACCCAAATGACTATAAATCATGCTGCTATAAAGACACATGCACACGTATGTTTATTGCGGCATTATTCACAATAGCAAAGACTTGGAACCAACCCAAATGTCCAACAATGATAGACTGGATTAAGAAAATGTGGCACATATACACCATGGAATACTATGCAGCCATAAAAAATGATGAGTTCATGTCGTTTGTAGGGACATGGATGAAATTGGAAATCATCATTCTCAGTAAACTATCGCAAGAACAAAAAACCAAACACCGCATATTCTCACTCATAGGTGGGAATTGAACAATGAGATCACATGGACACAGGAAGGGGAATATCACACTCTGGGGACTGTGGTGGGGTGGGGGGAGGGGGGAGGGATAGCATTGGGAGATATACCTAATGCTAGATGACGCGTTAGTGGGTGCAGCGCACCAGCATGGCACATGTATACATATGTAACTAACCTGCACAATGTGCACATATACCCTAAAACTTAAAGTATAAAAAAAAAAAAAAAAGAAGTGATTAGGAAGTCACAATTCTACCAACCTGGGAAAAGATACGCAAAGAAATAGGCAGGAGATGGTGTAGCTTTGTCCCCTTAAAAGCACTGGTGTTGTTCAATTTTGTAGCACTTCCAATGACTATGTAATGAACATTGACTGTGCACCAGTATGGTCTAGGCACTGGATTACGATAATAAACAACAAAAAACCCATAATTATTTTAAAAAGTTTATATTCCACTTTTACAGACATTTGTAAATATTCTATGTTATTTTAGGTAGTGGTAATTTTTATGGAGAAAACTACAATGCCTCCCAGCTTGTGTGGGACAGTTTGGATTTGTGCCTGTTTTCCTGCTGTGATGATTAAGATTGCCTCTTTTTACTCTCAAAAATGTCCTAGTTTTGGTGACCCTCTCTGTAAAAGAAATTTCAAAACAATGATAATATGAAAATATGTATGGGAGGGGTTCTTTTGGACTGGATGATCAGGAAATGTCTCACTAGGTGATATCTGAGCTGAGAATTAAAGTAATCACACAGCTCTTAAGGGTGAATTTGAATTTGAGAGGGGAAAACTGTGTAGTCAAACAAAGACGTAGTTTAGATTCTGACAAACCTGATTTTATACCTCAGCCCCAGCACACCCTAGGTTTGGTACTTTGGGCTTGGCTCCCTGTGAGATACTCAATAGTATACCTTAAGTCTAATAATGTGATTCAGAAATGAACACATTAAATTACATGGGCAAAGAAACTTATATTTATTTATGATATCCTCTCACAATACCATAAAGAAATAATCTATATTTTAAAGCAACTACTGTGCAGTACACACTGTGTTTGGGTACAGCTGGTTAATTAAGTATTACCGGTTGAGTATCCCTAATCCAAAAATATGAAATCCAAACTGCTCCAAAATCTGAGCCTTTCTGAATGCTCAATGGACACTCAAAGAAAATGCTCAGTGGAGCACTTTGGATTTCAGATTTTCAAATTAGGAATGCTGAACCAGTATATATTCTGCAAATATTCCACAATCCAGAAGAGTCCAAAAACCAAAACACTGCTGATCCAAGCATTTCAATGATGAGATACTGAACCAGGTTTTCTGTCTTTTAGAAGATACTGATCTACCTGAGATAAAACTTGAACACCTGAATCTGTTCAATATACAGGGTTGACTAGTAATTAAATGCTGAACAATATGGGACAGACAACTTGTACTATCAGAGCTCAAAAAGAAAATAAATCAATATACATTACAGAATGAAGCAGGGTTCCAAGGAAAGAAAATAGGATCTGAACAGGTGTTTAATTGATAAAATGCAATATTTCCTACCTGACCACTCAAAAAGCCATGGAAATTTGCTCCAGGCAGACAACAGGACCCTCTGTTGGGCTTGGCCAGTGGTTTCTGCAGCAATCGGGTTGTCTGGACCATTTAGCTTTTTAGCAAAACTTCCTGTTCCTACAAATAATCCCACTAATCCTCTCTCTCCCCAGCTGCTTCCTTGCCTTTCCTGCTTGGCTCCCCTCTCATAAGCCTCTTTCTTTCTAATTTTTTCAGAGGAACATATTTTACAGTCCCGTTGCTTCACCTACCTTGCCCATTGTCCTTGCCTAAAATTGTCCTTGACTGAAATAGTAAGAGATAGTTTTCCTCTGCTTTTTGAAATCTTAGCATATGTTGGTTGGTTGAGTTAACTGCTTCATATTTATTTG
The DNA here is from genome assembly GCF_000001405.40 of Homo sapiens. Lineage (NCBI taxonomy): Eukaryota > Metazoa > Chordata > Mammalia > Primates > Hominidae > Homo > Homo sapiens. The sequence goes on from NT_187540.1 coordinate 174,880, forward strand.
CTGTACTGGCAGGTTGACAGGGCAACTGGGAATCATGAAGAAATAGTTCAGCAGAACCACGAGACTCAGCTCTTAACAAGCACTTAATAAATGTTGGTTGAATGAATAAATGGCTATTGTAGTTATTGAAAACTAATACAATTAAAGGCAAGTGAGTTTAAAAATCACAGTCATTTATATAGGTACCTTTCTATTTATTCCTAATTACCAGGAAGCATAATAATGATTAGGTATTTCAATTATTTTTAGTGAAAATTTAATTTGAATAAAACTAATAGAACATCCTATAGATAACAGATCAGTAATAGCGACAAATTTGTTAAACGTGTGCCAGCAACAGAAATAATTGTACAAAGATCCCCATTTTACAGATGCGATGACCCAGCTTAGAGGGGTCATCTAATTGGTCTTCCCAATTGTGAGGTTAGGAATTAAAAGCTGGAATTCCAACACAGCTCTATGCTGTGCTGTTGCCTCTCAGAAAGATGGCTGGGGGTTGAGCAGAGAGAATAGCTCTCCTGGAACACATTTTCAGAATATAAACTTTTTCAGTTATGATGTAATATATTTATATTATTGTCATTAAGACTATGATGAAAAGACATTAGAGGAAGCAAAACAAAGCCTGATAGTTCAGATATGAGATAAGTAAAGAAGGGTGTCAAATGACGAAATGCTTTTTATGATGATATAGAACGATGAAATGCTCCCTTATGCCAAACCTTGGCACAGTACTTCTATGCCCACCCTGGCCACTGATTCAGTCCTACTCTCATATTTGTTCTTCCTGAAGTTGGAAAATAATGATTCACTGGCCATCCTCAGACATTATTACATGTTGATCTACTGCAGGGTTTTATTCACCCTCCTTTAAAAACATAAAGTGAACATTAGCCCCAAATAAAGAACACCTTGAGACATCCTGATGTCACTGCTATATCTCTATTAGGAAGGAGAAATAAATAACGTTAAGCATAGAGCCATATTTTGTAGGGACTTGCTAAAAACTGATTTGTTGGTAAAACTAGTTTATATTGCAAATATACATATATATGTATATATATACATATATTATATATATATTTTATATTATATATATATATATACACACACACATACGTAAATATACACATCAACGATGATCTCTGTCATGGTCAGTTGGACTTTTCTTCCACAGTTAAGGGAAGCTCCTCAGATCTTACCTTCCCAAGCCCACAAATGTATCCCAATACTGGAAAAACAGTGTTGGAAAGAAAATAAACTTCATCCAAGAAAAGATGTTGATATGGTTTGGATGTTTTGTCCCCTCCAAATCTCATGTTGAAATGTGATCCCAGTGTTGGAGGTGGTGGCTAGTGGGAGTTGTTTGGATCATGGGGCTAGATCCCTCATGAATGGCTTGGTGCCCTCCCCAGTGTAATGAGTTACTGACAGATCTGATTGTTAAAAAGAATCTGGGACCTCCTCTCCTCTTGCTTCCTGTCTTGCCATGTGACACATCTGCTCGCCTTTCACTTTCCACCATGATTGTAAGCTTCCTGAGGCCTCACCAGAAGCCAAGAAGATACTGGTGCAATACTTGTACAGCCTGCAGAACCGTATGTCAAGTAAATATTTTTTCTTTATAAATTACCCAGCCTCAGGTATTCCTTTACAGCAATGCAAAACAGAGTAACACAGCCATCAATGTGCCTAACAAACACAAACCATAGCCGTATCTCACTGAGTTGTAATAACATCTTCCCATAATAACAAACATCACATTATTTTCAAATATCATTTAATTTAGCTGATTATAATGACATTCTCTCAGAATACAGAGTCAGTTTGTTTGAATGTATAGGTTTACTTTACTTCTGGAATGTAAAAAAACATACAGAGAAATATTTGAGAGAAGTTTTACTGTCAAAGTAAAAGATAAACAATGATAGCAAACGATGTGGTAGAATGATAGGAACCTCTGCATGACCCACAGATATGATTAGCTTGCTCATGCCACTTTCAATATCTTTTGAGGGGAAGCAACATGACCACTGTGAGTAATTTTAAATAAAAAAGCCCAGTCAGTGGTAATACCAGTGGTGAGTGAATATAAAATAATCAATACTGCTATGAACATATTTCTCCTGCTTAGAGTAGCTTTCCCGCAGGTTCCTAGGATGGGGTCAGACAATGGAAGCAGTAGCAGAAACTCTGAAAGTAGGAGGAAAATGAGACCAGCATTTTTTTCTTCCCTGAGCTTTCTTCCTAACAGGCCTCTGTGGGTAGGCTATATTCCTGTACTCAAGGCCACCACTCTGTCTGGAAGCTTTCTAGACACAGGTTTCCTCTCCAGGCTCTGGAAATGGTTCCTATCTCTTGCCTCTTCAATAGTTTACTGTTACCAGCTGGAGCATACACATTACCCCTTATTGCTCCAATATAGAGTCACTTTATCAAATTCTTTTCTGGAGTGTAAGATCTCATTCCTGCCAGAAACAGAACTGATACAGATCACAATCGATGTATAATATCCTCGGTAGTCTTTGTCTTGTATTGTGAAACTTAAACGTTTCTTTAAGTACTTAAACGAGGCACTGATGTGTAAGTGCTGAAGTTTCTGGTAAGAAAGCTCTGATTACCTTTAGCAAGAGGGGCAAACGCAGCTCTTTTTTTTTTTTTTTTTTTTTTTCTTGAGACAGAGTCTCACCCTGTTGCCCAGGCTGGAGTGCAATGGCGCCATCTTGGCCACTGCAACCTCCGCTTCCAGAATTCAAGTGATTCTCCTGCTTCAGCCTCCTGAGTAGCTGGGACTACAGGCACCCGCCACCATGCGCAGCTAACTTCTTGTATCTTTAGTAGAGATGGGGTTTCACCACATTGGTCAGGCTAGCCTCAAACTCCTGACCTGGTGATCCACCCACCTCAGCCTCCCAAAGTGCCGGGATTACAGGCGTGATCCACCGCACCAGGCCAAATGCAACTCTTTCTATGAACATGAGCTCCTCCCTTTAGACCTCGTGAAACATGTTGATTAATTTAGCCAACCAGTCAACAAGTGAGTTTTAAGAGTTTACCACGTCTAAGACTGTGAGATCAGACCACTTACTACTTTAAAGTTATGACAATGATAAAAACAGTCTTCTTTGGGAAAGAGGCTTTAACCCTGCAAGCTTACCTACTATGCTAATTATAGGAAAAAGAACATAATTTGCAATGTAATAAAACATTAACATGCAAATTTCTTTCTGAAATTAAAGAAGGCAACCAGTAATCTGTATATATAAGTGTTTTGTTTGTTTAAATCAGAGATCATGTAATCAGATTTGGCAGAAATGGCAGATTATAAGAAGATTAAGCAAGACCATGAATTCCCCACAAACGTCCCTTTAATCCTGATTATAAAGTTAAACAGGACAAAATAATTATCCTGATAAAGTTGAAAATGTAAACTCTGTTGGGAAAAGTAACACAGTGCCATAAATTCATTGGCAGTCAAGTGTAAACATCATTTTTCTTTGCTTTCTTTTAGCTTCAGAATAGGTTTCAATGGAAGAAAGAGCAAAAGAAAACAGTGTAACATGGTGGTATTTTATATGCATTTGAATAATAAAAATTTTACATGATGCTTTAAGAAATATAATCTTGTTTTATCAGCAAAATTTGAAAGAATAGATTAAAAAGTTGAAAAAAAATAAATCAGCAATAGCATAATTTCAGAGCATGCGGGCCAAGAGAATATAAACTGTGTATTTGACTGCCACATGTCAGGGCCACTTGAACTGGGAAATAGAAAATCCTGTCATTTTTTTTTTTTTTTTTTTTTTTGCCAAGATTCAACTTGAATTTTGCTAGTGTTTATTTATGTGAGGTCTTTAGGGGTACTTCCTTTGTGTGAGATGTGTCTGCCCTATGTGTAAATGTGGCTGGGCTGGGGGATGAGAGAGTACATAGGAGAGAGAGGTTGGAAATATGATTCTGTGTTCTATCATCTCCAGGGAGAAAGAAGAGAACAGAAAATGGAAGGGCACACAGCCAGAAACAAACTTTGTTCAAGTCTCCGATTTTGCTTAGGATCACCTCTTCCAGACAGAGTGGTGGCCTTGAGTACAGGAATATAGCCTACCCACAGAGGCCTGTTAGGAAGAAAGCTCAGGGAAGAAAAAAATGCTGGTCTCATTTTCCTCCTACTTTCAGAGTTTCTGCTTCTCTTCAGACTTCAAAAATGTAGTATAAAAAATATTTAAAATATTTAAGGCTGGGCACGGTGGCTCATGCCTATAATCCCAGCACTTTGGGAGGCTGAGGTGGGTGGATCACTTGAGGTCAGGAGTTCAAGACCAGCCTGGCCAACATGGCGAAACCTCGTCTCTAGTAAAAATACAAAAATTAGCAGAGCTTGGTGGAGAGCGCCTGTAATCCCAGCTACTCGGGAGGCTGAGGCAGAGAGAATTGATTAAAACCCAGGAGGTGGAGGTTGCAGTGAGCTGAGATCGCACCACTGCACTCCAGCCTGGGTGATAGAGCAAGACTCCGTCTCAAAAATAAATAAATAAATAAATAAGTCTTTATATGACTAGCCTGTGGTGGCTTGACCCACAATAACTTCAGTGATGTCAATTTTAAGGCTGGAAACCACTCAAAGAAAACTTGTGAAACAAATGGACAAATGTGCATCATCTCTCCCTCTCATCCGTTAATCTAAAGCTCTCTACTTGATGGAATGATGAATTCTTACCTCCTGCTTTTAATAATATAATTTCACAAAATTTGAAATACTTTAACACACTAGTTAAACAATTCAGTGTTTCACAGAATTTTTGGGTTTAAATTGCTTTTGCTTCCCTTAGGTGGAGAATTGAACTTGGACATGCCTATAACTTTCAGACCTGAAGCCTGAAACAGAGCTCCAGGCAATATTCACCTCACACGTATATTTGGGGAATTCTTGATAATGGAAAAATGTGTTCAGGTCTTGATTTTTCAAGAAAACAATGTACAGAATATTGAAAAATGTCAAAACAACCTTCAAATAAGTACCCTAAAACATGACAATATTAAATTTCACACATAAAGAAGAAACAGTTCAAAACATGATATCTGCAATAACATTCATCCTTCTCAATGGGGCAGCATTCATATGATAGGGTGTTGTATGGGTTCCTATCATACACAAATAGAAGTGTCGTATTCTTGGAGCAATCCTAAGACCTATCTCCATTTATTTAGGTGTACAAGAATATATTGGGTAGCATGAGCCCCATCTAGAATTGAATATGATATGGTACATCAAGAGGCAGATCTCAAGCTGAGAAGAAAATAGGAAAATTGATCCTACAGTGAACTGAGGCCATTAACTTGTAATATTTGCATATGGATTTCTGTGATTTGCTATACATAACAAATAAACTTTTAAAAAGCATATGTTTTTATGATAAATACAGACATTATATATGTTTGTAAAATACACTCTTTGAGAAGTGATCTGCCATGATAAAAAATATGTAGGAAGTTTCAGGGAAAATAGATGTATCTTATTTTAGCTGGACAAATCTTTACTTTTGAATCTGTACTCTCTAAAAAAATTATTTTAGAAATCAAATTAAATTTTTAATTTGTAAGCAATCCTAGACACTGCCACAACTTACATGAAAAGCTCTCACAAAAGGAAATTGCTTTTCTGTAACTTGTGATAACACTAATAAGACAAATTGAAGGAAAGTTTGTATCCACAAAAATTTCTTTGCACTTCCAATATTCTATGTTTGTATAAATGGCCCATTGTGGTATCAAATGAGAAGCAGCTGCCAAAAATAAAATTATATATTTTGGAATTAACTTGTTTTCAAATGTAAAACAAAATCACCGTTTCCTCAGATAACACGATTGACCAAAAAAAAAAAAAAAATAAAAATAAATAAATAAATAAAGGGCTTTTTGGTAAAAAGAAAAAAAATCACCCAAGACATGTTCGTGTTGTTTTAAATTTTTGATAACTACAAAGATACATGCTGATTGCTCAGGATACAATTAGCAGCTGCCTGCATATCCAACCTTAAAGGAAATTTTTTAAGCTAGTTCAACTCTGTTTCCTACTTCTTCATTAATTACTAGCTAAGGGACTTGAAAGTGTCCTAATGAATTTTACATTAGACTCTGTAATATGAATGGTGTATATTATCACAGCATCTAGTAAATGCATAAATTGGCTTTTCCAAGTCGCATTTTGAGTAGTTGTAAAGATTCTGGCTGGATATCACAAAATTTAGTATTAGAGACTGAGCCGAAAAGAATTTTTACAAGAAACAGGTTGCTGCAATCACATTTCTCAGGTCATAAATCTATGTTACTACTTTATGATAATCTGTCGGTCCTTGTTCTCAAAGTTCAAAGATGCTGTGCTTCTTCTTTTTTTTTTTCCTCCTGTGGTTCAAAAAGAAGAAAGCAATCCCACTTACAGTGATTTCCAAATACGCATTGAATAAAGCTTAAAATACTACTGCTATACCAGCTTTCCATAATTTCCATATTATAAAGTACCATCCAGTGATAAAGTACCAACCACAGTGTTTTGGATTTAATACTTATGGTTTACAGTTTCCCAACCACTTACCATTTTCGTAAAATTCTTTGAAATCAAAAGTTTAAGAAAACTATTCAACAAACAGAATGAGCTAGACAGGCAGAAAACTGTACCTAAATCCAGTCAGAAACAGACAGAACCTTAGGATTGCCCTATCAGAGAGGAAAGGACAGACAACCATGGAAACCTCATGGAAAGCTTTCTTTTATAAAATATTTCTCTAATTTCATAGCAAGGTAAAAGATCACCTCTTGCTCATTTTCAAATGTGACATGATACCATAAATGGCACATCATCCTTACTTGAATGTTTAAAGCTAATATGCAGGTAATGTCAAAGTCATAGTGATGGGACTAAACATTTGTAATCTAAAGGTGAAGACTGCGTGAGAAACACCACAGAGCTCCGAGTTGGCAAAAGTCAGATACAGACTCTCAATGATTATTCCTTAAAGAATATCCAAAGTCACCACAATTCACATTACCTAAAGATTAAAATGCGGATATTAACAGGAAATTAACATTAGGATGTTAACAATCCTCTTAATATCTATTAATATTTGATGATGCTCTCTAAAATCATTTGATTGTCAGTTACTCTCTTAAAATGGTTTTCCCTTATTACACTAACATAATTGTATATGCAGTTTAGTTAATTATCGCCAAGACTTTACTTTCTTAGGTAAAATGTTGCTCAAATTCATCTCTCAGCTTTATATCAGCACAAGATCACCTCTTGCTCATTGTCAAATGTGACACGATATCATAAATGGCACATCATCCTTACATCATCCTTACTTACAGTGTGTGAGTTTCTTTACTCTTTTTTTCTCTTTATTTAGATTAAAGAAAACAAATATAGGTCAGTATTTGAAAAATAAAGCTCACAACAGTTCTTTATGACCAGAATCAAAGTGTGTGTCCTGTTAACCAAGATTTGTCTCTCAGAAGTTTGATGATCTGTTAAAAAATATATATATTATCAGTGTCAAGTATTTTAGTCCCACCTGTCACTAATTTAATGACGGCATTGCCTAGGAATTTCATGAGCAACAAAACTGTTGATTTAGCCTCATAATTTTGGAACATATTAAAAATATTTTCTTGCTATCAACACTTAGATTTAAATAGAATTTCTATTTCAATCATGAAAATTTTTAAACATTGAAATCCACTGCAATGAAACAAATATGAAACCTCACATGGACATTTTACTCTTCAGCTGTTTTCATATTTTGCTCACATTTTGCAAGGAACCCAGAGATCCAAAAGAAATATCCTTAACTCTTTCCCGGCCAAGCCCTATGATCAAACACATGGGAAATAATCTATGGATTACAATAATCAAACAGTTCTAGAGAATTTCTAAATATCTGCAGGAAGAAAATCTGTGTGCTTTTCAAGTAAACTGCAGCAATCAGGAAAGAAGAGAAAAACCCCTTGCACAATCATGTATTTAAAAAAAAAATCTTTCTACTCTGCAGATACTGTTTCCTGAAATTTACCAAGAACACTGCCTTGAAGAGATAAAAAAAATACATCCATAGAAGTCAGTTCTACCCCCAAAAGAGCTGCACTGCACACATTTTTAGAAACATAAATCTCAGCAAATACAGTTGCATTTTATTGACAACATTAAAAATAATCACAACAAAGAAATAGCCTTTCCTATTCCATTTCAACTTCATTACCATGCTCTACTAGCCTCTACTAAAAAAAAAAAAAAAAAAAAAAAAAGTCATTACCTGTATGAAGAGAACCTGTTAATAGTCTGAGAAGGTACTGGGCAAATTTCAGTATTTCACGTTTACACCGCTTTCTACAGCCACTCATCTTAAGCAACAAGGTATTCCTCTGAGGAGAGCCAGAAGTCTTTGCCAATAATAATAATAATAATAATAAAAAGAGAGTCTCTGAGGAGAAACTTCTGTCTCAGTTTATGCACAGGCTGCCTTACAACTCCTGTGGAATTAGCTGTTAGCGCCTCAATCAGAAATTCCTTTAAAATGCTAGAGAAGCCAGATACAGCTACAACAGTAACAGGGAGGTGAGAAAACACGGCTTCTCAGTGTGGTGACCAAGTTCTTCTGTGGCAACAGACAGGCTGCCGGTTCACACTTGTAGTAACCCAGCTCTGGTTCGGCTCGGCATCCCCTCTCCAGAAGCAGTTGCAACCTCACAGACCATTCAGAGGGAGGCGGGGCCTGCGATGCCAGCTCATCAGTGAATCAGCATGTAAGCAGGTGAGAAGACAGATGACAGGTCACTGGGTCTGAAACCCTTCCGATACCAATAAAGGGAACCTGCGAGTGCACTCCAGCCTGCTGGGGAGGAATCTCAGGGCCCGAGGCTGTACAAAATGAATGATTCCCAAAAAAAGGAGGTGGGGAGAGGGAAGCATGCTGCTCAAGGTCAGACATCAGACAACTCCCTTGACACAGTGTTAATCAGATTCAGGAAGGCTACATGGGGGAAAGGCTCATTTGAGAAGCTGACCCTGATTCTAAACAGACTTGACGATTTACCACCAAATGGGGACAATGCTATTTTGTCAGGGATAAATGTATTCTTCTTCATGGGCTTAGAGGGAGAAAACAAGCTGTTTCTTAAAACTGGCTACATTTTCTGCACAGCGCGGGCTCAGGTATTTGGAAATTAGGATACATAATTGTCTCCTTTAAAACACAGTAGCCTAGAAACCAGAAATCTTAAGCCCTTTACATTGCCTCCAGGCAACAGAGCTCCAAAACTAATTTACTGCGTTGTCCTAAGAGAAAGAAGTGCCTCAGTTTCTTCATATTTCAAAAAGGCAAACACAACCATCTCCCTACCAATCAACTTTTTTAAAGTTAATAGCCAGAACAATTGCAAGGATTTGCAATTTTCACAAAGTACTTTCCTTTTAAGACATTGGGATAGAGGCAGTTGCTGTGAAAGCCAGAAAACTACAGGCTTGCCTTCTCTGAAAAAGTGGTTTTCCTGAATTCTTAAGTGCCTTAGGCAGTTTTCGGGATTTGTCTACACTCTTAATTTATACTCCTAGAGTTTGTTTATTTTTGTTTATTCTGAATAAATATAAATATTATATCTGTGAGATTTAGCACAGATGGGGCCATATTTTAAATACCTAGACAGGCCTTTTGGCTTCTTTTTCTGACAGTTGCAATAATTCTAGTTGAAACTGATAATTCCCAACAGTACTACATAAGAAATTATGTTCTTCTACACTAAAGAAAGAACTCCTGGACTCATAGACTGAAACACATTGAATGGAAACTCATTCTCTTCTAGAACTCTTCCCCATTCCCACCAGTCTCAGGGTTCTAACCATTCTAACCATTTAAATGGAATAACAAAGCATGCATTCTAGGAATTTTCAGAACTTTAATTGAAATTATTTAAGATATAAATAGACTCATACACAAAAATCAGCAACGTGCTTTCTGAAGTTCTTTCTCCTACACATTTACCATGAGTGATGGCATCCCTAAGTTTGAAATAGGCAGAAGAAATACACAATTGTAGTTCAACAGTTGGTTTAATTAGTTGAACACCCCATTTCCTTATCTACAAAAGTGGGAATAGAATGCATATTTTATTTACTTGTTGGAGAGTAAAATAAGATAGGGAATGGACAACCTTAAGCACAGCACTTTTATTCATAGATGTAGCAATTCTATACTGAACACCTATTATGTTCCAGACATGGTTCTATGTGCTGGGAAAACAGTGGTAACTGAGAAAGGCAAAGCCTCTGTTCTCATGCAGCTTACACCTAAACAAAGAAAACATCAGGTTATCAAATAATAAATAAGAACATATCCCATATGAGTAAGTGCTGTTGAACCAGGAGAGAACATTAAAACCAGCTGGCAGAATAGAAAGTGAGTAGGTTGAGAGGTCAGGAAAGAGGTCTCTAAGAAAAGAAGTTAAGTAGGAGTTTAAATTACAAGAAGGAACTGACCGTGAGATGTTTAGGGTAAAGGGCACCTTGGGTGGAGGAAACAGCTTATGCAAATACGCCAAGCTGCGAATGAGCTTGGCATCCTTAAGGAACAGAGAGAAGGGTGTGGCTGCTGAAACATGCTGAGCCAGGAGAGACTTCTGGGAGACATTTTCATGGATAAAGTCCGGGGCTACAGTATGTGAAGCCTTATAGCTGGGGTAAGGGATTTAGATTTCAGTCTCTTTGCCAGAAAGCCACTCTAGGGAATAGGGGACTTGTGTGATCTGCCTGCTATGAAAAGGATGAACTGCCAGGGAGCAAGAGTGGAAGAAGGAACACATGTGAGGGGGCATCACAGTGGCCCAGGTGAGAAACAATGGTGGCATGGCCTGGAGTGGAAATACAGGTAGTCAGTTTCTGGATATAATTGAAAACAGAATCAGTACAATTTGGTACACTGAATAGGGACATGAGGGAAAGAAAAGAATTAAGAATGAATTAGTTTGGGACATGAATAACTGAATGGGTAAATTTAATGAGTTGATGACATAGAAATACTATGGGATTGCTGGATCGTATGATAATTGAGTTTTTTGAGATACTCCATACTGTATTCTAAAATAGCTGTACTATTATAATTTACATTCCCAACAACAGTATATGCAGGTTCCCTTTTCTCTGCACCCTTAGGATACTTGTTATCTTTTGTCTTTTGGCTAATAGCCATTCTAACAGATATGCAGTGATAGATCATTGTGATTTTAATTTGCATTTACCTGATGATCAGGGATGTTGAATGTTTTTTCAGGAACTTGCGGGTCATTTGTATGTCTTCTTTTGATAAACGCCTGTTCAGGTCCTTTGCCCACTTTTTAAAATGCATTATTTGTTTTCTTGCTATTGAGCTATTTGAGTTTCTTACATATTTTGGATATTACCCCTTATCAGATGTATGGTTTGCAAATATTTTCTCCCAATTGTGGGTTATCTTTTCACTGTGTTTTTGTTGTTTTTTTTTGTTTGTTTTTTGCTGTGCAGAAGCTTTTTAGTTTGCTGCAATTTCATTTCTCTATTTTTGTTTTATTGTCTGTGCTTTTGGGGTCCTATATGATAAATCATTGTCCATACCAATGTCCTGAAGCTTTTCTCCTATATTTCAGTAGTATCACAGTTCCAGGTTTTACATTTAAGTATTTAATCTATTTTGAGTTAATATTTTTGTATATGATGTGAGATAAAGGTCCAGTTTCATTCTTCTACATATGGTTATCCAGTTTTCCCAACACTTTTTATTGAAGACACTGTCCTCTCCCCATGGTGTGTTCTGGGCACCTTTGTCAAAACTACTTCTGGGGATATATATAAAAAATTAAATTAGTATGTCAAAAAGATATCTGCATTTCCATGTTCATTTCATCATGATTCACAATAGCCAAGATACAGAAGCAACCTAAGTGTCCATCAACAAATGAATGAATAAAAAAATGTGGTATATATACACATTGGAATAATATTCAGCCTTATACAAATTAGGAAATTCTATCATTTGTGATAATATGGAAGAAACTCAAGGATGTTCTATGCTAAGTCAAATAAGCCAAGCACAGAACAACGAATATAGTATGATCTCACTTATATGTGGAATCTAGAAAAGTTGAACTCATAGGAACAAAGAGTAGAATGGTATTTACCAGAGGATGAGAGGGAAGGGCTGATGGAAAAAGTAAAAATGTTGGTCAAAGGTTACAAAGTTTCAGCTAAACGGGAGGAATACATTTTATTGATCAATTGTACAACGCGATGACCACAGCTGCTAATAACGTGTATTTCAAAATTGTGAAAAGAGTAGATTTTAACCATTCTCACCACAGAAAGATAAGTAGGTGAGGTAATCAAATTGTTAATCATCTTGATTTAATCTTTCTGCAATAACCATATATATCAAAACATCATATTGTACCCCATAAATATATGCCAAGTATTATTTGCCAATTAAAAACTTAAAAATATAAATAAATACAAATTAATACTGTCTGTAGTCTTCTAGGGTTAAGAGAATCAAAAGATCTGCTTTAGATATATTAGAATGTAGATATCTATAATGTACTCAAAAATTAAGATGGATGTTTTAATTCATTTAAAAATACATTTTTGTTGTTGTTTTGTTTTTTTGAGATGGAGTCTCACTCTGACACCCTGGCTGAGTGTAGGGGCATGATCTTGGCTCACTGCAACCTCTACCTCCTGGGTTCAAGTGATTCTCCTGCCTCAGCCTCCCGAGTAGCTGGCATTACAGGTGCCCGCCACCACACCCAGATAATTTTTATATTTTTAGTAGAGACAGGGTTTCACCATGTTGGCCAGGCTGGTCTCAAACTCCTGACCTCAGATGATCTGCTTGCGTTGGCCTCCCAAAGTGCTGGGATTACAGGAGTGAGTCACCATGCCCGGCCTACTAAAAATACTTTTTAAAATGAGAGATAAAACTAGAAAACCTACAAATGTCAAAAGGATAATAGATATGTTGTTCAATGCAGGCTGCTACAACAAAATACCATAGTCTGGGTGGCTAAAACAACAGACATTAATTTCTCACAATTCTGGAGACTGAGAAGTCCAAGATCGAGGTGCCAGAATATTCAGATTTTGGTGAGGGCCCTCTTTCTACCTTGGAGAGTGCTGTCTTCTCTCTGCATCCTCACGTGGAGGAGAAAGAGAGAGAGAGGTGGTATCTTCCTCCTCTTATAAGGACACTAATTCTATCCTGAGCACACTATCCTCATGACCTTATCAAAACCCAATGACCTCCAAATGTCACAGCTCCAAATACAATCACATTGAGAGGTTACGACTTTACATATAAATTTGTGAGCAGGAAAAACAAATATTCATTCCGTAAGAGAAGAATACTACAAACAGCCCTACAACATAATTTTCATGAATTAGATGAAATGGAAAAATTCCTTAAAAAATACAAACTAAAATAATTCACCAAAGATTAAATAGATAATTTGAATAGCTTTATACCTGTTAAGTAAGTAAATTTAATTTACAATTTATAAAATTTTCCATTAAAAAAAACTTCAGACCACATGGTTTCACTGGAGAATTCTATCAAACATGAAAAGAAGAATTAACACTAATTCTTCACAATCTCTTCCAGAAAATAGACAAGAGTTATACTTCATAATTCATTTTATGAGTACAGTATTGGCATGACACAACAACTAGAGAAAGACAATATCACAGAAAAGTAAAGTATAGACAAATATCTCTTAGAAGTATGGACTCCAAATCATAAACAAAATATTATCAAAGAGAAGTTAGCAATATATAAAAAGAAATATATATTATAGTCAGGTAGAGTTCATTCCAGGGATGCAAGCCTGGGTCAATATTTAAAAAATCAAAGTAGTACATCATATTATCAGGCCCCCCACAAAAAAAAATCACATGATTATATTCACTGATGCAAAAAAAAGCATATGACAAAATTCAACACTGATTCATGATTAAAAAAAAATCCAAGAAATAGGAATAGACAAACTGCTTTACTTTGATAAAGAACATCTACAAAAACCTACTAGTAACATTATGATTAATGGTGAAAGGCTGAATGTTTTCACCCAAAGATAAGGATCAAGACAAAAAAGTGCTTCAACCAATGTTATTCAACATAGTGTTGGAAGTGCTAGCCAGTACAATGAGGTAAGAAAAGAAACTTAAAGGCATACAGAGTGTAAAGAAATAAATAAAATCTTTCCATTTGCTGATAAGATGATTTTCTACATACAAAACCCAAAGAATCTATAAAAATTAAAATTTCTCTTTTTTTATTATACTTTAAGTTTTAGGGTGCATGTGCACATGGATGAAGCTGGAAACCATCATTCTCAGCAAACTATCGCAAGGACAAAAAACCAAACACCACATGTTCTCACTCATAGGTGGAAAAATTAAAATTTCTAGTATAAATTAGTGTCTTCAGGAATGTCATAGGATACTAGCTAAGTATTCAATTATACTACTTGAAAAAACCTGTTGTACTAGCAATGAACATATGGGCACTAAAATTTAAAATACAATATCATTTACAATGACTCAAAAAATGAAATACTTTGGTGTGTGTCAAACAAAACATATACAAGACTTGTGTGCTGAAAATTACAAAAACTCTGATAAAAAATAAAAAGATGATTTAAATAAAACATAGTAAAGATGTCAGTTCTTTACTGCAACTGCAAGCAAAATTACAAGACTTTTCGATCATAGACAAGATTTTTCAAAAAAATGTATATAGATGTACAAAGGAACTAGAATAGCCAGCACAATTTTGAAAAGTAAGTCTTGAAATCAGGTAGAATGACTTTGAGACTTATATGGCTGCAGTTCTCAAGTTTGTGAGGTATGGTTAGAACAACAGATGAGCACATGGTTCAGTGGTACAGGGTAGAAAATGCAGAAATAGAGCCACACAATTATGCACACCTAATTTTGACAAAGATGCAAGAGCAGCTATTCAGTAGAGGAAAGACAGCCTTTCAACAGTGACGCTGGAGCAAATGGACATCCATAGGCAAGAACCCAACCTTGGTGAAGATCTCACACCTTGTATAAATACTAGCTCAAAATACATCACAGGCTTAAATGTAAAATGTAAAACTGTTAAAGTTTTAGAAAAAAAAAGAAGAAAATCTTCAGAATCTAGGGCTACGCAGAGTCCTTAGCAATGTTCATTGCTGGTAGAACAGATGTTTTCAATTAGTATATATTCCAAAAACATGAGCCATAAAAGGAAAAATTAATAAATTAGATGGCATCAAAGTTTAATACTTTCACTCATCAGAGACCCTGTCAAGACAATGAAAAGACAACATACAGAGTGAAAGTGAAATATGCAAACCACTTATCTGACAAAGGATTTGTATCTAGAGTATATAAAGACTTTGAATATTCAACAATAGTGAAGCACACAATTCAATTAGAACATGAGCAAAAAACATGGAGAGTCATTTCACCACAAAGGTAAAACAGATGGCAAGTAAGCACATGAAAAGATATTTAATAGCATTACTAATTATTGAAATGCAGACTAAAACTACAATGAGTTATTACTACACATCTATTAGAATGGCTAACATAAAATCAAAAATGGTGTCAAGACCAAATGTTGGCAAGGACACAGAAAAACTGGATCACTCATACATGGACAGTGAAAATGTAAAATGTTACATTCACTCTGGAAAACAGTCTGGCGGTGTCTTAAAATTCCGAACATACATCACCTACAAAACCTAGCAATTGTACTCCAGAGCATTTATCCCAGAGAAATAAAAATTTATTTTCACACAAAAACCTGTACACGGATGCTTATAGCATTTTGACTTGTCATAGTCTTAACCTAGAAACAACCTAGATGCCTTTTAATGGGTGAATGGTTAATGAAATTGTATATGTCCAAACCATGTGATACTACACAGCAATAAAAAGGAATGAACTAGTGATAGACACAATTTAGATGGCTTTCAAGGGAATTACACAGAGTGAAAATGCCAGTCTCAAAAGATTACATACCACATGATTCCATTCATATAACATTCTCAAAATGACAGAATTATAAAAGTGGAGAACAGATTAGTGGGTGCCAAGGATTAAGCAAAGGGTGGGGGCAGAAAGAAGGGCATTCGCTATAGAAGTGCAACACGGCAGATCCTTGTGGTGATGGAAGTCTTCTGTATCCTTATTGTATCAATGTTGGTATCTGAGTTGTGATATTTTATTATAGTTTTGTAAGATGTCACCACTGCAGAAAAATGAGTAAATTGTACACTGCATCTCTCTGTATTATTTGCTTATAATTCCATGCTAATCTACAATTATACCCAAATAAAAATTTAATGAAAAATGTAATAAATAAAATTTTAAAAATACCTTTTGAGCCCCTTCTATGCACTACTGTTTTAGGTGCTGAATATACATGAGTGAACCCAATAGACAAAATTGGTGTCTCATGGAGCTTATAATGGGGAACGGGGAAAGAAACAACAGAGCAGGCAAAGGGACACTGAGCATGTCGAATGGAGGGAAGGGATGGCAGGGCATGTAAAGCAAGGTGATAACAAAAGTCCTCAAGAGAAAGTGATGATGTTTGAGTAAAATTTGAAGGTGGTGTAAAAGAGACCCATGTAGATACCTGGAATGTGCACATAGGTGCTTTCTCTGTATATGTAACTTTCTGTAGACCCTGGACAGTCAGCTAATAATCCACAAATCAATCTGTTTGAAAAACCTTCTCAAAATCAGCCCTCTGTAGAAGGTTCATTTTTCACATTGAAGCCTAGAGCACCAGCATGATCAATATTTTCTCTAGGGAAAGTAATTACTAATCACCAATTGTGTTGGATGTGTGCAAGGATCCCACTGCCTATATTTGTGTATTGTTGGGGAGTATGCAGGGAAAATAAAGTTGTTTAATGCTATCCTTGGGAAAACACAAAACATAATTAGGAAGAGAACTATACAAATATCACAGAGTATTAGAAAACAAAAATGTTCTTTTAATGATCAGCTAATTTGGATTAGATATAACTACCACTAGCAGCAATATCAAGAATCAAGAGTTGCATGTTCAATAATAACAGATGTCTTTAATATTTCAGAGATGTTTGAGCAAAGCCACTGTCATTTACAAAGAAATATAAGTGAACAGCTCATAAGGGCTTAAAGGTTTTCGAGATGAAACCAGTTTTGGCACATGGTAAGGGGACTACTAAAATTCCTAACAGTAAAGTTACAGAAAAATTTAGTTTAAATGCAAACCAGCTCATCATGTGATAAGAACAAAAGGTTCCTTGATGAGTGATGATTCCACAAGCAACTACTGGCCATGTGAAATAAGTTACAGAAGGACAAAGAAGTGTAGACTCATTTCAAGATATATTTCTCCTAATTGCATTTTGGAGGAAATGTTTTTCAGAGCAGCTCTTTTAGAGAAGGCCAAAGTCCAAATATATGAAATCTTAAATGCACTTAGATGATCCTCATTGCTTCTTAGAATGGAAAAATAAATGTGACTGATTGATTAAGGGAAGAAAGTTGGCTTCTCTTCAAGGAATGACGAGTGTAGTGATTCCCAAGAAGACTCTTCTCACAGTGGAGTTTTCTCTCAAAGACTGCTCCTCTCAAAACATCGTGGTGTGTTCTGTGTATCTCAGTGGGAACAGACATTGTTATGCCTTTCAAATTGTCACAAGTTGCAAAATTAAACATGTGCAGCATAAAAATAGCACACCATGGGGCTGCAAAGAGAAGCAGAGCAGAGCCTTGCGGCAAAGTCACAGGTTTTGAAAGTGGGTCTTGATAAAATATCAGACTTGCTACTGTCCATTAGAGAGGAACTCCCCAGTGCCAGGTCCATTATTATTCCAGAAGCTGTTCCCCTACTTCACTGAGTAAAGAGCCTGCCATGACACTACCAATGTTTGCATCAACTTTGGTTATAGCTCTGTGAATACAAAGCAAGTCAAAATCAACCCTACTGGCATAGGAAGTCCTCCTTTAGTGTGGCTAGGTCTAAATTGACCACAAACCATACGATAAACATTTTAGGTAATGTCTAAATGATGCCATTGTTGAGGCTTTCTGCCATAGTCTAATGTCACACAATGAAGACTAAATCATTGATAGATATGAGGATTCTGTATCACCTTGGTATTGAGTGTGACAATGTGAACAAATATTTACATGTAAATAGATTCACAGAAGTATCTACTAAATACAAATTATGAGCTTTAAAAAGTAAAACAAAACATCCTGGAGGGCCGAAGAAGTGAAATTTTTTCTAGAAGATGAGATTGAACTATTCTTTGTTTGGTTGTGTTTTTAAGGAGAGCCACTGTTTGTTATTCATGAGTGTTCAGAGGTAAGGAAAAGTGTTTATGACATATGTGTAGATTTTGGACAAATAGTCCATTGGAAATGTGCACCAGGTAGAGGTAAGGCTCCATTGATGAGACCCCACCCACCAAAAACTCTGTCTGAAGTCCTCATTGTTGTTGTTACAGGAGATGGGAGCAGATGTGATTAGCTGAGGGAGAGCCCTGAGAGTCAGAGACAGATGTTTACATCATACTTTAAAAAAAATAAAAATACACTGGAGAGTCCTGTCCAATGGAGACATGACTGGCATCATGGGCTTGGAATTTGGATTCTGTGTCAGCATCCAGGACTTCAAAAAAGGAAAGGTTGAGGGGTCAGTATGGTTAGGGGAGCTAAGTTTCCAGTCATAGATTTATACCTAGATTATAAGAAAAAAGGATGAGACGTGTCCTCAAGCCCAATATTCCATAAAATTAGGCTGACATTATCCTGAAACACACACATACACACACACACACACACACACACACACACACACACGGATAATGTCAGCTAATATACATATACAAAATCAACTTATGAGAAATTCTCTTTTTCCCACTCTTTGGTGGGTCATTTAGAATAAGGAACTGGGGTTCTAATTTCACACTGGAACATAATATCATATTGTTTACCTTTACTCAGATGCATTTTCTCAGCTATTAAACAGTCATGCAGTCTCCTGCCTGACAAAACACATGTAGTTATAGGAAGTATTAAAATACTACCCTACAATTATATAACCATTTTAAAGTGTTAATATATAAACTTTTTTTCTTTATTGAGATCACTGGAGCTCATCCACTTAATTGTATTTACACTCTTACCCATTTTTTCTCAAAGTACAATGTTTGGCCTATTTGCATCAGAACCACCTGGAATGCCTGTTTAAAATGCAGAATTCTTAGGCCCCGCCTCCAATATATAGACAGAATTTCTAAGTATGGGGTGAAGAGTCTTACAGATTTGATATCTCCTGAATTCTCAAAAACACAGACTTTTGATAATCAAAGCGACATAAGCCAAATACCATCTTGGAATGAGAAGTCAAAGAACAATCAAAGAGCAAGCTGAAGATGACAAAATTATGGCTCTATAAACTCCCAATAACCCACCAGATATTTCTGCCTAAAGCCACCTGCAGACCACTGAGAGGCTGGGATGTGGTCTTGGTAATGCATTCCCAGCCTTCCATTTCAAAACAAATCACAAGTGAGTCAAGGAAGCCTCATTTTCAGTTATATCAAAGGCAATCAATAGGCAGCTTTAAAACAATGAGGTTGCTCATTTGGCTTGAACAGAAGTCATCAACCGCAAGCAATCCTGTGGTGTCCATTGGAACCTAATGGACTCACACAGATTTGGTAAACTTTTTACAATATTTTACATTGCCTTTTTACAATATTTTATAGATTAGCCAGTTAACTAATATTTAAAAACAATTAGGCCACATATGTGATTTAAACTTTCGAATTCAGCATGCTATTTTCTCCCCTTCCTTTATTAATTTTTCTGCAGATTAGTATTTTTTAAATTTTATTACATATACTATTAGACTAATATAAATATGAGTAAGCTGAACTCTAACAAAAATATTTGTGTATATTTTTTAAGGGAGAGGCACAGAACTTTCTGTCTCATTCTGTTGTGAGGTGAGATCCCCAAAAAAAAACAATTGTGAGTCTGGGGTAACTAAGTGAAGGACAACAGCATAATAAAAAAAGAATTAAAAAGAACAATAAATGTCCTGACCTTCCCTTGGCCCCCAGCCAACATATACAGATGATGAGTTGACTCAGTATATATTTATTGAGTTTCTACTTACCAGGTAGAGGTTGAGAGCTGAGTTTCAGATGACGTTAAGATACAAACTGAGTATTTGGAAATGATGATTTACCATTCAGAAGAAAGGTCAATGTTGAAGGTCACATGGTGATATCATTCCTGAAGACATAGCAATTAAAACTGAATATGGATAGAATACCTGAAGGAGACAGAGGTGCCCTACAGGCTGTTGTCACATTGTCTCAGTTATAAATGGCATTGCCCTATTTTTCACTTGAAATTGAACTGTTTTACACTATTTCTTTATCATAAACAGATACTAGTTTTTAAGAAAGAGAAGATGCAAATAATTTTTTTTAAAGTTAAGATCATCAACAAAAAAAACAGGTCTAAATATTATTAAAAAATAACGGTAGTATTAAAACAGAAGTATTCTTGATGTGCTCAGTAAAAAAGATTTTGTGACTTATGTAAACACCTAGGAATAGTAGAGGCAATGGTATTACAGAATCACAGAAACATATATACTCAGTGATGTCTTGTCTACACCAGGTTACAATTCTCTTTAGTGTGAGTAATCCCTTTTGTGCTAAAATGTCCAGTGATGCTTTTATAACTAACTACACTAATGCCATAGGCCAAATGCCAAAAGAGAAGCACATATCCTAGTCCAACAGCTAATAATTACTGACATCATATAATGATAACCACCAGAGCTGCCAGCACATGCAACTTTTAGATTAAATTGGATAGGAGGGCCCACATTGGCATGCCCTGCTGGAAAAGGCAGCAATAGAACAGCAACAAGACATAACTGCTGTCATTCTTCCCAAATTATATATTCTTGTTTTGACTTACATAAGGCAGAATATTAGATGATGTGGAAGATGAATACCTCTTTAGCACTTCATCCTACAAATCTAAATTCAATTTCAACTAGGTAAAGGCAAAGCTTGGCTCAGAAATCCTCTGTGCCTTTTGAATGTCCTTGAGTGTTTCCTAAGGATTCATTTCCCAACAGCAGTCTGAGGACGACCACACTCACACACTCCCCTGGAACTTGCTGCCATACACCCTTCTCATCAGAGAAGCGTGATTAAATATTCAGGACCCTGCCATCGTGGTGCATAGCAAAGTAATGCAGGGCTCTGACCTCCTCCAGGAAAATCAGTCAGGGAACAAATGCATGACAACAGGTGGTACTAACTGCGTACTGTAACCGAAAACCACCTAATGCAGTTTTCATGTTACACACTCTCCAATGCTCACTGCAGAAGATGTTGTACTAAAAGCTTTTTTAAATGCATGCTGCAAATTCATATGCAGATCCAGCCACAGCTGACCTTCGGCCCCATGTGAACTCTGTAGCCAACATGTGCCTGGAAGAGGAGGCAGTGGAATGAGCCCTGGACTGAGTCAGGCTTGTGTCTGGCTCTCTCAAGGACTAAAGTTGGGCAAGCTGCTTCAGGTTTCAATCTCCTGATATGTAAAATGAAGGTATTATATTAAACAACATCTGTTTTATGTTCCAATTCAAAAAAAATCTAGAGATAGAATTCTAAATATCATTAAAATAGCCAAAGAATGCCCTGTAATGTGGATCTACTTTGATTTATTCACCCTTACCCCTATTGATAAACTTTCAGGATGTTTTCAGTTGTACTGCTATTTCAAACACTACTGCAATAACCAGCCCTGTACACATATCCTCACAATATAAAGCTTTATTTTTTCTATAGATTAATTTCATTAATGTAGAGGCACGCCTACTACCTATGGTTAAGTAATAAAGCAAGTTAAGAAGATATGTACATGTGATATGTATGATCCTACTTTTATGAAATAAAGCTACATTCTCTATGGGGTAGATTTCGTTTGTATAACATTGCAGCCTATTTTCTTGAAGGGAGAGAAAAGATGCTATAAGAAAAAGGAAATGGGCCAGACACAGTGGCTCACGCCTGTAATCCCAGCACTTTGGGAGGCTCAGGTAGGCAGATCATGAGGTCAAGAGATTGAGACCATCCTGGCCAACATGGTGAAACTTCATCTCTACAAAAAATACAAAAATTAGTTGGGTGTGGTGACATGCACCTATAGTCCCAGCTACTCAGGAGGCTGAGGCAGGAGAATCGCTTGAACCTGGGAGGTGGAGGTTGCAGTGAACTGCAGTGAACCAAGATCGCGCCACTGCACTCCAGCCTGGTGACAGAGCGAGACTCCGTCTCAAAAAAACAAAAAAAAAGGAAAAGGAAACAGCAACAAAATGGAAGTTATCACAATATAGTGGTAATATTTAGAATATAAAACTAAAATGTGTAAAAATATAAAACATTTTCATATACTGCTTTGAAAAAGAAATACAGATTAACGAAAAACTGATTTCATTAAGAGATAAAATATATAGGCAAATTTTAATTGGATTCCTTCTGTTACTGTTTTTCATATTGTTTTTGCAGAAAAGTAACATGCAGACAAAAAGGGAACTAATGAACCTGTGATGTGCATTTCCCTGAGCAGTTCCAGGACTGTGAAATCCCAATGATATCTACTTATTCTCTATGGGAAAGGCACCAGGATGAGAAATTCTCCTGAACTGTATGAACTAATCTTCACAGGAAACTTTTTAAGTAGGTTTTATTATCCTTCAAAAAGGATAGGAAAACTGAGGCTGGGAAGGGTTAAGTAACTGGCCTATACTCATTGCAGCATAAGTATCACAGCTTAAATGTGTTCCATTCTTTGCCTGACCCCAAACCTGTGCTCTAAAGCATTGTGGAACATCAAAAGCCTCTCTGCCTTCCCTACAGTCCAAAAATTCTCAATTTTCTACTATGGGAGCTATTAAAATTACACTAGATAAACCTGTATTTTAAAAGTATTCAAAACAAAACACAACACACTTACTTAGAGCAATAATAATAAATATTACAGAATAATATAATCCTTCCCGTTCTAAAATATTTTTAAAGAATATGATAACTTTATATTGGGTCCTAGATACCATACTGTATTTAGGGAATTTACCAAGATAGAGCTGGCTTTATTGTAAGTCAAGCAAAATGAACTGGCGTTCTTGTAAGCTGGGTTCAGTCTACTATTATCGGTTCTGTACAGTGTCTCCTCGTGTGCTAGTGAAACAGGATGGGGGGCGAGGAACCTCCTTCCCATCTTTTACTAGCCTGAGAAGTATCTTTTCAATATTTTATAATTTTGCCTTTGGCAAAGGGCTGCTTATCTCCTGGGAATTCAGGCACATTTTGAAGATTTCCCCATAGCCAATGAGCACAGAATGATTATTCTCACAAAAGTTCTTAAGAAATGTCACCTCTCTTGTGTCTCCTTCTTTCTAGATAAGCTCTCCCCACACCTTTCTCCTGAGACAGTCTAGAATCTCCCTTTTATATTGCTGCAGAAACACAGACTCATTTCCATACACGTTTACTCCGGCACCTATAGCATAGATCAATGCTATGGACACGTGCTGTTGTGTGAGATTTAAAAGTAAATTTTCCATTCAGAGATTTTTAAAAAAAAAAATCTGGTCATAGCAGCCATTAGTCAACTTAGTCTTCATTGCCCTCCTTTTTATTTCTAAGCATGATTCATTCAGGATATAAGATTGCATGGGCAATCATTCTAGTATTAAACACCTTGGAAAGATGAGGACCATCTTCTTCCTCCCTGTGTCTGCTTCTCTTTCTGTTCCATCTTCTTTCCTTCCCCATTTCTTTCACTCTTTCCTTCCCTGTCCAGGTCCTGTTGAATGCTGACTCAGGCCATCTGTGCTTTCCAGGCCAGCTCTTTCACTTATTGCTCATGATTTTGGCCAAGCCATTTAAAATGCCTAGGCCTCAATTTCCTCATGGGTAAAGGAAGCTAATAAGGTCTACCTAATGGACCCACCCAATAAAATTCTTTTGAGAATTAAGTGGGAAAATGTATATTAAACACATTGGAAATTCTTGTCTACAGGGGATATGTCATCAATGGGAGTTGTTACTGCTGCTGTTTCTACTAGATTCCAAATTGAGAAGAAAATCTTTCTAAAGCAAGTATCAAGTAGAGTCAGGAGGAAGCATCTAAAGTTTCTGCAAGGACCATGGCACATCTTCTTGAACACTGCTGGGATGATTATTTGGATAATAGGAGTTGGCATCATTTTCATTATTTTATAGGCAATATAGAAATATATCTGCACTCTTCTTTAAAAAAATTACTAATACATAATAGTTGTATATTTTTATGGGGTACAAGTGATATTTTGCTACCTGCATAGAAAGTGTAATGATCAAGTCAGAATGTTAAGGTTGTCCATCACCTCGAGTATTTGTCATTTCTAAGTGTTGAAAATATTTTGAGTCCTCTCTTCTAGCAATTTTGAAATATACAACATATTCTTGTTCACTACAGTCACCTTACTCTGCTATTGAACATTAGAATGTATTCCTTCTACCTCACTGTATGTTTTACCCATTCACCAGCCTCTCTTCCTACATGCCCTGCCCACACATACCCTCTCCAGCCTTTTTTCCCATGTTCTCTTTCTTTCATCACATAAACACTGGCTTTCTAGTCAATGGGAAACAAATTACCAAATGGTCATATTTCACAGCACAAGCTCATGTACAAACCCATGATTAGACTTCAATCACTCAAAAAAATTATAAAATTCAACGAAAATGATATGAATATGTATGCATTTTCTGACAGAAGAGTCCAGCACTTCCACTCAATTCTAAACAAATTATAATAATCCTGAAGTGATTCTATACTGGATATATTGTGTGTAAATACATCATCAGATTTATTTTTCCCTGGAAACCTAAGGAATAAGTTTAATATACTCCAAAAATATAGTCTAGTGCAGTGTTTTGTCACCTTTGAGATGGTAGTCCCCTTTGACAGTTTTATAAAAATTATAAACTCTCTCTCAAGATTAATAAATTGTCATCAATAATGGCTGTATTTTCAAAGGCTCCTAGTGGTAAGTTCTCCCTCATAGCAGCTAGGAACATTCCATCTCTCCCTTCCTTGACATATTGACTACTTTACAATCTCCCCTGATATTTCTCGGCTCTCTAGTCTCCTTTGTTCTTTGAGAGAAGGCCACAGCAGTCAGTCTTTCTACAGCATCGGCTACCTAGGACATGGACAGAGAAGGAAAGGGACAAGGGGAAGGGGGCAAAAAGAAGATGGGACAGAAAGGTAAGAGAGTCAGACACAGGGAGGAAGGAGATAGAGACAGGAGAGAAGGAAGAAAGAGGAAAGGAGAAGAGGAAGAAAGAGAGGGAGGAAGGGGGGGATTAATGGGGGAAGGAGAAGAAGGGAAGAGAGAATATGACTTGGTAGCTTTTAGTAGGTCAAGAAGTAGGTTTATAAGAAACACCTCTTTCAAACCTCTCAACTTCCTTCCCCATTCAACACATTTGCTCTAAGATAAAGGTGAAGTAATTGAGAACAGCCTGGCCTACAGCTTTTAAAGTGACCTATGAATGGATATTATAAAGAATGTGTTAGTAATTTCCCTTTGATTATTTTATTTTATTTTATTTTATTTTATTTTATTTTATTTTATTTTATTTTATTTTATTTTATTTTATTTTATTTTATTTTATTTTATTTTATTTTATTTTATTTTATTTTATTTTATTTTATTTTATTTTATTTTATTTTATTTTATTTTATTTTATTTTATTTTATTTTATTTTATTTTATTTTATTTTATTTTATTTTATTTTATTTTATTTTATTTTATTTTATTTTATTTTATTTTATTTTATTTTATTTTATTTTATTTTATTTTATTTTATTTTATTTTATTTTATTTTATTTTATTTATTTTTGAGATGGAGTCTGGCTGTGTCGCCCAGGCTGGAGTGCAGTGGCCCCATCTGGGCTCACTGCAAGCTCCGCCTCCCGGGTTCACTCCATTCTCCTGCCTTATCTTCCCAAGTACCTGGGACTACACCAGGTTCACGCCATTCTCCTACCTCAACCTCCCAAGTACCTGGGACTACAGGCGCCCGCCATCATGCCCGGCTAATTTTTCTATTTTTAGTAGACACGGGGTTTCACCGTGTTGGCCAGGATGGTCTTGCTCTCCTGACCTTGTGATCCGCCCACCTTGGCCTCCCAAAGTGCTAGGATTACAGGTGTGAGCCACCGCGCCCAGCCTGATGTATTTTATTTTACACAACCAAGTTACTGAGCTATACTTTACTGACAAACTATTTCTTGGAGTATGAATGAGGGGGACAACTGCCTCCTTAGTGAACTGAACAAAAAAATCCCTTCTATGCCAGTTTTGCTCTTTTGTCTTGATACAACATTAGATGTCTCTGACATTTTTGCTACAAAATAAATTATTTTCAACACAGTTTAACAAATATGAATTGGATTTCTTATAGCTTTCTTATACTGAGCCAAAGAAATAGAAAAATTATATCTGCTCTAAAAATTGAGAGGACTGCAAATGTCAGGGGTGAGTTGCATCCATCAAAAAAAGTCCTAACTGAAAAAAGTTATTTTTTCTAAAAATTAATTTGCTTTCTTCCTGAAAATCTCTACTGTTTCCATGATATGGTTTTCAATCTTTTCTTTGTGCTTCTGATATCATAATTGCAAAATATTTCACTTGACTCTGCATTATTTATTCACCCATCAGTCAGTCATTTATTAGGGAAGGAACTGTAAAATCAGGTTACTTTGATACGACTTCTCTGATTTCTTCAAGATCAACATTAAAGTGGAAACACCTGGGATCTAAATAACTGGAGAAAATTTGCATACAAAATGAATTAGCATCACCATTAAAAAGCCTCTTTTATCCTAATCTGAAGTTTATGGGGAGCAGCTAAAACTAAGAATAAAACAAATCATTCTTGGTCAGCTTTGATGGTCAGACAGTTGTCTACGGAACCCCAAGTCTATGAGCAAAGTGACTCAGTTTACGTATGGGGCCAACATAATAGTCTTTTTTTAATTTTAATTTTTATTTTTGAGATAGAGTCTTGTTCTGTCTCCCAGGCTGGAGTGCAATGGCGTGATCTCGGCTCACTGCACCCTCTGCCTCCCGGGTTCAAGCGATTCTTCTGCCTCAGTCTCCTGAGTGGCTGTGATTACAGGTGCATGCCACTGTATCTGGCTCATTTTTTGTATTTTGAGTAGAGACAGGGTTTCGCAGTGTTGGCCACGCTGGTCTCAAACTCCTGACCTCAGGTAATCGCCCACCTTGACCTCCCAAAGTGCTGGATTACAGGTGGGAGCCACTGCCACCGTGCTGGGCCGGTAGTCTTTAGTTTCTGAGAAGAGGCAGAAACGGCTAGTTCCTTAAAACCCTGTAATGAGGAGTTACTGGGTAAAGTTAGAAAGCTTAATTATAAGATGGTCTGATGGACATGTTTACCCCCAACGAGTGAGTCAATTTAGATCACATTTTCTGCTTTCCAGACTGATTATTAACCCATTTGTTTCCTCACCTCCAAAGCTGGTGGTGACTCATCCCATGCTAAAACGGCCTTGTTGAAGGGAACAAATGGCTGTGACCTGATATTAATGTCACTTTGTTCCTATAGCCATTCCTCCTTTTGGGGTGACTGACTATTAAGAACTCAAGTGTAGGTAAATTTAGAAATACAGAAGCCACTTCTCTCCATACCCAGGTAGACGGAAAGAATCAAGTTCTCATGCTGGGCCAGTGTGCCCACTATCCTTCCAAAGGTGAAACTACCACACTGGAGTTTCTTAATTTATTTCCCCATCTGATGGGTTTCAGGGATGCCTGCAAATCTCACCTTTCTCTCTTACACTCATTATTGTCATAGTGTTTCTCAAACTCAGCACTATTTTGGGCCAAATATTTTGGTTTGTTTTGGAGGGGTATCCTGTGTATTGTAGGATGATTAGCAGCATCCTTGGCCTCTATCTACTAAATATCAGAAGTATTCTCCCACTGTAGCAATAAAAATGTTGCTAGACATTCTCTAATGTCCCCTAGGGGTAATATCACCCTGGATAGAGAACCACTCTACTAAGTCTACGAACTTGACTAATGAGAGTGCCATGGATTCTTGATTTCAGCCCTAGTGACTCAGATTTTACACATGATTTTCACAATATTATCTATATAATTTGCTATATATTAACTATATAACTCCCTAGAATACACTGGCTTATAAGCAATAAATCAAATGCACTTGGATTTAGCATTGAGCATTTTATAACCCTCAAAAAAAGCTGAGCCTTTGTTTTTGTAAGAATTTGGCTATGGCAGAACCAATGAGACCATACCTCCCCAAAATAAAACCCATCTTGCAAGTTATGACCACCTATATTCAAATGGTAGCCTAGGACTGGAGCAAAGAGCAAACAGCTATCAGTTCTTAATTTTACTCTTGATTGCTTCTTATTTTTCTTTACTGGGTTGAACTGATCAGACTTTGCACATATTAGCCTATGTGACCTAATTCTTTTCCTCCTATGTTTTCTGTTTCAAGGCTCTTGATCACTGTCATTTTCATTGGCCCCACTCCTGCGTAATAGTTCCTTCTTTAATATAGTTCTCACTCCAACTTCTGTTTTATATTCCAAATCTGTGATCGTCACTTTTCTCTTTCATCTTTTAATGCATCACCAGCTTAGACCTATGGTACCCAGTTGGCCTCAATTCACTAGTGTCATCCTGGCATCTTTTTGACTTCTCTGTTCTGAATCTGTTCATTTCATGTCATAACAGATCACTTAGAACATGAAAAAGTAAGAGAAAGCAATTTAACAAAGGGGCAAAAATAAAAAACCATACATTCTCAGAAATAAGCATGCAAACTTTATAACTTCTGAGAACACCACATTATCACATGACAGTGTACCAAGTGTCATTTGCAGTAATGATTTTGAGCCTTCAATAAAGGAGTATGTGTGCTCTCCTTAAGAAGAAAAAAATACTATATTTAGAAATAGTTTCAACTCATCTGGTTAATATAGCAGTTGCAACACCTGAAGTGATGAGCTCAAATTTTCTGCAAAACACAGTTATGTGAAACACTATGTTACCTAAATATTTATTAGCCAATTTGTATTTATGCTTATTATGTTGAATTGTATATGGTTGCTAGTTTTACAAATATTATAAAATTTGGTAAACATTTTATGAATATTAACAATTATGTATTCAACCAAAATAATACTGAAAGGTTTTTTTTGTTTTTTGTTTTTTTTTCAAGTTCCAGGATACATGTGCAGGACGTGGAATTTTGTTACTTAGGTAAATAAATGTATGCCAGGCCATACCACCCTGAACATGCCGGATCTTGTCTGAAACTTCTCTAAATGCAAGACAATACAAACTAGCAATGCCTTCTTCAAAAGCCAAACACACTTAAAGTTTTATGAAAATAATTTTCATTTTGCTAATGTTTCATCAATGCTTCCTTCTTGCGTGGATAGCTTCATGATTCCAGAAACTCAAGAACATTAACTGAACAATCAACTAAAACAGTGCAAGTAATGACTCCACAAGACAGCGCAAGTAATGACTCTATAGCCAATGGATAAATAAGAAAATGAGGTGATTATTTTAATTAGCAAATCTATTTGCAAAGGACCCTTCACGGATCCTCAAGTTTCTGTTTTGCCATGTTTAGTGCATTTCAATTGCAAATGTCAACAATTGCATTTTTTGGATTCTAATCTCCAGCAGCATAATAAATAATGTGCACTGCATTTGTCATTTTAAGATGACAGCACTCAGCGGTAAGAACCTAACAAACAAAACAAGCTAAAGAATCATTAAGTTTCAGTACGCAAGTGCCACCTTAACAAGTGATCATTGAAGTAATATTTTCTGCAATAAAACCCCTACAGTTGCTAATCATTGATGATAGCTGATGCTAGAAACCAAAAACAGATACACATCTTCAGTACATGAGATGGAATATAAGACAGAAAGTAAGTAAGGAGAAGGAAAAGGAGACAGAAAGAAACCTAATTATATCAGACACCCAGGAACTCTGAAATGAACTCGTTTCATCTCAGAGGAACATGAAGAAATATAGAGGAGTCAATTTAAATTTATTATCTGCCTGCTGCTGTTTCAGCTGCTGCTAACAGACGTTGCATAGAGAACCTATGGGGAGAACAGCATTTTTATATGTTCTCCTGGTAAGAAGCTGGGGTGAGGGTGTTGAGGATGAATGTAAATGTGAATATATGGTACTTCATCAGGACCAAGTTTTATGTTACCATCTCAAGGGAGCTAAGTAAAATAAAAGTTCAATGAATATTTGCTGAATAAATAAATGATGCAGTGATTCCAAGACTCCCTAGAAATCCATTGTGTGGTTCAGTAGAGTCTAGTACTGAACCATCACCTCTCATCAGCAGTGGCAAGAAGAAATCTTTGTGTCAGGTAAAAGAAGAAACAATAGGGGCCAGGCATGGTGGCTCAAGCCTGTAATCCCAGCCTTTGGGAGGCTGAAGCAGATGAATCACCTGAGGTCAAGAGTTCAAGATCAACCTGGCCAATATGGGGAAAACCCATCTCTACGAAAACTACAAAAAATTAGGTGGGCATGGGAATGGGCACCTGTAATCCCAGCTACTTGGGAGGCTGAGGCAGAAGAATCACTTGAACCTGGGAGGCAGAGGTTACAGCGAGCTGAGATTGTGCCATTGTGCTCCAGCATGGGCAACAAGAGTGAAGCTCCATCTCAAAAAAAAAAAAAAAAGAAGAAGAGGAAGAAGAAAAGAAAAAGAAGAAGAAGAAGGAGAAGGAGAAGGAGAAGGAGAAGGAGAAGAGGAAAAAGAAGAAGAAGAAAAAAAAAACAGGGCTACTGCCAGTTATTTAATACCTTTTCTATATCTGCTAGCATCCACCAACTGGTGATAAGAGGGACTTCTTAATCTTAAAGGCTCCATTGAAACATGTCTCCACTTCTCTCTTACCCTCAGGAAGTATGCACTAGGCCAGTTGCGTTCAATACCACATACAGAGTTTTCCATCATAAGTACAGTACATATTTCTCCAATTTTTTTCATGTAAAATATAAATTGAAAAAAAAATCAGTGCAACAAAAGAAAATATTCAAAATCCAAAGACAAGTGGAGCCTCAGAGCAAATAGATGTTAAGAAAATCCAAGCTAGACTCTGCCTTCTTGATTTTCATATCTAAGTGATAGAAAACTTTTTTCTTATTTTGTTTTATTTTCTTTATTTGTTTTACAGTAAAAGAGAATGACTCGGAGCTGTTGTTTTTTTTCCCCCATTCTGTTTTTTTTCTTTTTTTTTTTTTCATTGTACTTTAATTTCTAGGGTACATGTGCACAACGTGCAGGTTTGTTACATATGTATACATGTGCCATGTTGGTGTGCTGCACCCATTAACTCGTCATTTACATTAGGTATATCTCCTAATGCTATCCCTCCCCCCTCCCCCACCCCACAACAGGCCCCAGTGTGTGATGGTCCCCTTCCTGTGTCCAAGTGTTCTCATTGTTCAATTCCCACCTATGCGGTGTTTGTTTTTTTGTCCTTGCGATACTTTGCTGAGAATGATGGTTTCCAGCTTCATCCATGTCCCTACAAAGGACATGAACTAGTCCTTTATTATGGCTGCATAGTATTCCATGGTGTATATGTGTCACATTTTCTGAATCCAGTCTATCATGATGGACATTTGGGTTGGTTCCAAGTCTTTGCTATTGTGAATAGTGCCACAGTAAACATACATGTGCATGTGTCTTTATAGCAGCTTGATTTATAATCCTTTGGGTATATACCCAGTAATGGGATGGCTGAGTCAAATGGTATTTCTAGTTCTAGATTCCTTGTTCTTTAACACTAGAGCCTTAGTTCGGAGTTTGGTTAAACTGTTCAGTGAGCTAACTCCAACGTTTACATAGAAAGTACTTTTTCCGTGAAAACAGTGTGATGTAATGACCTAAAAGTAGAGATTCAGTGACAGATCACCTGGATTTCCACTCTAATGCTGCCTTTAATGGCTGTGTAATAATGGCCAAGTTACTTAACTTGTCACCAAAAGATTATGTATGATTATTTCTGCATTCAGGGGATCTACAGTAATTTATGTTTTCTAGTTTATGTTTTATTTTTCTGATTTCTATAATTCCTATAGTGAACAAATTTTAAAAAAATAAGAAGAAAGAAACTTCAATTGGTGACAAGGTATCAAGTAAAAATGAACATTAAATGAAGCACCACCTTAAATGCTACACTTTACAAAGTTCGACTTCAGCTATAATCAACATAGTTTCTAATTTTAATCAGTTAATGGAAAGCATAAATCAGCCACTCAATTTTTGCTTATAAGTAATTTCTGGGGGCAAGTATATATCAGAGTTGAAGTTCTTGATCAACTAACTAAAAAATCACATAAAAATTCTCCCACCTTCTCATTATCAAACACTATTTGGTTTTCATAATTGCAGTGTTGAGCTCTGACCTACAGATAATGTTCTGATACATCCAATAATACTTTTGCTGCTACATCAATAAAACATGGTTGTAAACTCAGCACTTGCCATTCACATGGCTAACACAATTATGCCCGTCTCCATAATAATACACCAACATAAAATCATCCTCATGGCTACATTAAAGTTAATTTCCTCCAAATTATATGCTGTGTTCATAAGACATGACTGTGCATTTAGACAGTGCTTACCTGTTAAGGGGCTCTGAACACTGCCTGTGTGTATGTTCTATTTATGTGTATACATCACTGATGCAAAAAGAGACAGCCTTTTATTTCAAAGGTATCTATGTTCTGATTTGCACTAAAAACTTAGACTCCTTAAGATCATAAATTTCATATTCAATCATAGTACCATTCTATTGAGCTCATTATTCAGTCTTTCACCAGTACAAACAAGAACTATTTTATGGAAAGCCATTCATTTATTCAATCTACTGCTAGTGCTAAAGAAAGCTGTAAAAGTAAATCTAAGCCAGCTCTGCATTTTGGGATGTCACAGCTCAACTGGGAAGAGAGGTATGAAAACAATTCCAGTGTATGCAGGGCTGTTATAGCCACACTTTAGGCATGTGAGGCGGGGGAGATAGGGAAGAAAGAAAATGTGTTCAGGGTAGGCGTTACTAAAAAGAATTTGCAATGAGTTTCAGGAAATGAGTAGGTTTTTGGCCACTGGGTAGGAGAGAAAACAAGGAAATCCCACATTCTAAAGAGAAACAGAATACCTGAACAGCAGAGACATGAATGAGCAAGGAGAGAAAATGACATTGTAAGAAAAATGCTCCCTTTTCCTCAGCCAAAAGTTTTCTTACTTTCAGTTAGGATATGCAGATTTAATTCAACACGTCATTTGGGCAACCACTAGAATTTTCAATTGAGAAGAGAGAAATCACAAGTCAATTCAAATTATAAAAGCAAATTTGGCAAGATCATATGGTTACTGCCGTGCTAGAGGGAGCGGATGGGTATCTGGTTCTCTTTGATGTGGCCTGTTACAGCTTTGTGAGTCCTTGCTAAAATGTATTATTGCTGCCATTTTACTGTGCATATTACGTTCTGCTCTTTCCACATCCTATGGTAATATTTTTGTGCCACTCTATGGTTAAACATAATTTTAACTATTGCGACTATATATGCATTGGCAATTCAGTATGTGTAACCTTCAAGGGAATAGTTTTAAAAAGATTCTCCGTGTTAACAACATGGTAAGGAAAGTGAGGTCTTCAGACAAAAACAAACAAACAAAAAACAGAAGTTCCATAAGGATTCTCACTGTCTATCTACCTAGACATTTGTTTTACATATATTTCTACAGAATAAAATTTAACAATATAGAAAGATCTAATGGGTCTATGAAAAGATTTGCTGCCACTGTCCCCAATCCTATTCATTTTCTCCAAGATATGATTTCACATAGATGATATAAGTTCTTCGGGCATGTGGACTCAGATTTCACTTACTAAAAACAAAACAACAGTAAAATAAAATCTGTGATGCTGCTAAAATTCATATATTTCCCAAATTTGAAGACCCTCCTTTGAGTGGACAGGGTCCCCAGGACCCATATTAGAAAAGAAGAGCTTTTAGAGAATATTTTGCTAATATTCACTGCTGCTTCTCCTTTTTTTGTGTGCAGCAACCTCACTTCTGATGAGCTTTTAAACCCATAGCCAGCTAAATCACATGTTAGGCCTTCACCTAGTATATTTACCCATCATCTCTTTCCAGTAATGTACAGCTTGCCTAAAATGATGTAAAGAAGAAATATTGAGTTCAGTATGGCTAGTGGAGACGTGGTTTGTAGGAAAACATAGGAGACAAGGTTAAAAAAGCACAAAGAACTCACAACAAATGGCTCAGAAAAAGAAAGTTTGGTGTCACATGGGAGCTCAGTCATACATGGTTAAGGAATTAATACACGTAAATTCCTAGCCATACACATACACATAATCTATCCTCAAAGGTATGTGCAAGGCTCTTCCTAGCCTTTAGATCAACTCAAAAAGGAGAAACTTTGATATAATAAATTTCTCAGGGATTATCTGGTTGTGATCTATTTAATACAAATGAGTCTGGACTATGAAAAACACAGTTTTCCTTGAGTTTAGATTTTTAGGGCCTTCTCTCTGTAGGGCATTAAGGCCTCACAGGGTCATGATCATTTTATAATCTTTAGGAAAAGAGCCAAGCACATTCCTCAGCCAATTTTATATGCAGGCCTTATAGCAGAGGGGGAGGAGCAATTCTACAACTTGCAGAAGACTCAGGGAAGATTGTCAGGATGGGAGAATGCCATATGAGTTGGAGAGAAGGCTCCAAGCAGGTCCTGAATCAGAATAGAACCTACATGAATGATGGTACATGGTCAAGGATTTGCAGATTTGGATTTGTACATCTCTATCTCTTTTATCAAACACAACTGGTCAAACTATCACAGAGCATAGACAATGAGGTGTCTAAGAAAGATCCCTGAGAGCCAATGAGGTACAGACTAAGAGAATGGGTTTTGAAGTCATGTAAACAAAAGTCTGAACTCCAGCTTTCCAATTTACTAGTTATTCACCCACAAAATATTTTCTTGGCCTCTCTGAGTCTCAAAGCCATCTATATAACCCTAAAATATTGTGGGAAAAAAGTTACAAATAATACAAGTGAGATATTTGGCATGTGTTTGACATTCAACATGTATGAACTATTATTACATGAACATCATCTAGGAATGTAAGTGAGTTACAACACTAAAGTGCAATATTTCTGCATGTTGCTTGCGGAGCAATTCATCACTTTGTGGAGCAATTCATCACTTTACATAGGCTCAGTGAGGGCCTTTTTTTTTTTTAACCTCTTCAGTATCTTTAAATCTTTAAAGTTCTGAAAAAAATACCGTATTTCCCTCTGTTGGTCTAAAAGTTACTATTAAATTCTTGGATTTCACATATAATTTTATGCTCATTTAGTAAATACATGCACTTTACACATAACTTTTCAAAGTATTATCATTTTGAAGTGAAGAGATGATGGAGACTGAAAGGTTCCATTAAATATCTTCTGCTCAGTGAAGAAAGAGACAGCTTGCAGGGCATGCTTAAGAGACCCAAGGAGTGTGTGACAGTCTGCAGCATAACAGACCTAACCATACAGTATCCAAAGGTCTTTGGACTTCTAGCCTGACATTCTCTTTCCTACATTATCTTTTGAGCTTCCTCTACTCAGTCCTTACTCTTTCCTTTCTGGAGTTGCTTTGTAAACACTTTAGCTTCACAGAAGTTCCTGTGAGATGTCAAAATATTCCATCTCTCTATTTAATCAGTCTGACTTTGCGTCTAAACCTAGTAAATTTGGGATATTATTTGTTTGACACCTCTGCCTTCACAAACCTATGATTCCTAATATTCTTGGTTAAGGCATCACAGATGCCTTTTAAACCAATCATTCTTCATCAAAACACAAATCCAGAAAATCAGACTTCTTAGTAAATATTTCAAAACTTCCTATACAAAAAAATCCCCAGCTCCCTTTCTTTTCTTAGACTTCCTGTCACAACATTCACACCATTTGTGAATAACAGTCTGGAGCTGGTGTGTTAGAGTCAGGCTGAAAAATTGGATACCTCAGATGTACTTCGAAGTCATCCATAAAATACTCAATGGAGAAGAGGCAAGGAAACCCATTGGTTACAAAGGCAGCAAAACGAAGTAAGGCCACTGCCAGTGGATCATGAGAAAAGACAAGAGACATTCAAAGACACAATTGCTATCTATGATGCATCTGGCTCTGGCAGAATGATAGACATAAGCCTTCAGCTCTGAGAGATGGAGAGGATTACTGCTTTGGAATAAGGCCCTGTAATCTTTGCATTAGTATATCTGAAGCAAATGACCTTATTATTTTGATATTCTACCTTACCTTCTCTGTAACTGAAAATAGAGGACACCAAAACAACTTTGTTTGGCAATATTTTTCTTCTTCATTAGTGTTTATTTCCCCTTAGAACAGTTCAACATTAACTGTTAAATTCTGATGAAGACTGTTTTATTCTTGGTGATTTCAAGTTACAAGAAAAGCACCTGGCACATAGCAGGTATATAATAAATGTTATAAAATTGATTTAATAATTAATTAATTATCAGGCCTCTTCTGCCCTAAAAGAGAGATGGCACTCTAAAAAGAAGAAAATAAATTCTGTTTCTGGAAGAGTAAAGTGAAAGGAAATCTATCACTGATGTGTGCTGCTTTGGCAATATGTGTTTTCTTAATCTACAGCAAACAAATGTTATATAGGTTAGAGGTATACATATGGAAATAGCTCAATTCCTATCAAGTTTATTTGCCTAGAATCTATACAGTAGGAAGTCTAAGGATAGCAATATTGTGTCTCATAACTTCATTAATTTTGATGCTTAGCTCCAAAGCAACTGGGACATCAGTGTACTGTTAGCCTGGAGATGTTTACTTCTCCTTTCAGCCTCCTCATGGATAAATAACAAATCAGTACTACTGAAATGAGTTGCTTCTGGGGCAAGCAATGAAGCAGTTGTTCCCTCAGTAGCCAGCTCCAACAGCCTTTACAGTCTCTCAAAGAGGCATGTCTTCTGCTTACTAATAAACTGTATTTTAAGCTGCCAAAAAAGCAGCATATGAAACACTAAATGTGAAAGTGCCTAGGCATAAAGATAAGTCTCACGTAGCAGAGGAGGGTGAGTAATTTTTCCCTAACTATGGGATGACCTAGAGCACAAGTTAGAAAAATCGTAACAAGACAGAAATTCGAAACCTAGGAATGTGTTCAAATGGTCCTGGAGAACATTGTCATTTAGGCCAGCAACAATTTGAGTCCTGCTTTCAGGAAATGTTTGCTAAGACCTTAAGATTAGATTCCACGTCCCTGTGAATACCCTTATCTCCTCATGTTTTCAGAAATAAATCATTTATCACTCTGCACTGTAATTGCTTCTTTAATTGTCTGCTTCCCTCCCCAAATGTTTGCTCACTGAGAAAATATCCTGTTCACCACCATTTATACAGTGGCTAGCACAGTGCCCGACACAAAGTAGATAAGCAATATATATGGCTTCAATCGATGGATCAATCCTGATTTGTGTCAATCATACATAAGAACATAGCTATAAATTCTCAATTATCTTTCTGTAGATTTGGGAAAGTAGATTCTTCCATTATTATGAGGGGAAATCTATTTCCCCCTAGCCATAAGCTCAATCTGTCTAGGGAAGGGGAATCTACATGTTTGGCACTACACAGTGCAAAAATTATGGTAATCTGATAACTTATTTCTCAAATGTTTTGTTGGTTAGTACTCTAGAATACTGAAACACATAGAGTGGTCACATGTGCCATGTATACTCTAAATGTGTTCCTCCAAAATTCATGTTAGGATCAAACACCCAATGTGATAGTATTAAGACATGGGACCTTTAAGAAATGATTAAGTCATGAGGACTCTTCCTTTCTGAACAGGAATTGTGCCCTTATACAACGTTTGAAGGAGTATGCCTTTCTCTCTTCTGTCCTTCTACCATGTGAGGACATAATCTTCATTCTTTCCACCATGTGAGGACACAGTCTTCATTCCTCCCACCATGTGAGGACACAGCAAGAAAGTACTATCTTAGAAACAGACAGCAGCCCTCAAAAGACACAAAATCTTCTGGTGCCTTGGTCTTGGACTTGCCAGCCTCCAGAACCATAAGGAGTAAATTATATATAATTTATCCAATCTGTGTTGTTTTGTTACAGCAGCACAAACAGACCAAGACAATACCCTACATTTAAAATGGTTATTTGTGGCCGGGTGTGGTGGCTCATGTCTGTAATCCTAGCACTGTGGGAGGCCGAGGTGGGTAGATCACTGGAGGTCAGAAGTTCAAGATCAGCCTGGCCAACATAACAAGAACTCATCTTTACTAAAAATACAAAAATTATCCGGGTATAGTGGTGCTCACCTGTAATCCCAGCTACTCAGGAGGCTGAGACACAAGAATCACTTGAACCCAGGAGGCAGAGGTTGCAGTGAGCTGAGACCACACCACTGCATTCCAGCCTGGGCAACAGAGCAAGATTCCATCTCAAAAAATTAAAATAAGAATAATAAGAATAAATAAAATGGTTATTTGCCTTTGTTCAGAATATTTTTCAGAACAGCAGCCTACACACAAGCCACGACCTAAAATGCAACTAATAAACAGGCCAGGCATTTCTTGCACACTTTTTCACATAGTATCTAATACTACACTGTACTAGTTTTGCTCCTACCCAAATGACTTACACTTTCTGTCTTCTGGACTCCTGTCTTTCAAATCTCAGCCTCTTTT
The DNA here is from genome assembly GCF_000001405.40 of Homo sapiens. Classification (NCBI taxonomy): domain Eukaryota; kingdom Metazoa; phylum Chordata; class Mammalia; order Primates; family Hominidae; genus Homo; species Homo sapiens. The sequence continues at coordinate 213,909 of NT_187540.1, forward strand.
CTTCTCCATCTACACCTGCTTTCCAGGTAATTCCATCTCAGTAAACAATGACAATTTCCAAATTTAAATCTCCAGCCTGAGTCTCTTCCCTGAACTCTAGACTCATGTATCAACACAGCCAATTGGATGTATAAGGAGCATCTCAAAACTAACCAAACTCCAAATCTCCTTTCCTCAACTCTGTTCCATAAAGTCTTTCTTATCTCTGTAAATGGCAATACCCTTCTCCCAGGTGCTCAGGTTAAGTCAAATAAGGCGTTTTCCTCCCACTCCACATCGAGTCCATCAGCAAATGGTGTTGGCTCAATGTTCATAATTGAAGTACTTCCCACCACTGCCACCCCAGAACTGCAGGCCAAGCTGCTGTGATTTATGGCCTATTTATTGCAGTAGCCTCTTCACTAGGTGTCTGCTTCTGCCCTTGCTGCCTTACAGTCTAGTCTTAATGCAATAACCAGAGTGATCCTTTTAAAACATAATTCAAATCATGCCACACCTCTGCTCAAGTCTCTCCAATGACTACCCATTCCATTTGAGGAAAAAGCACTTAAACCACCCACATCATTTTTTTCTCTGTTTCCTCTCTGACCTCATCTGAACTACTGGCCTCTTCTTCACTCTGGATCACACAGATATGATGCTCTTTTAAAAGACTCAACATGCCTTCCTCAGGAGTTTGCCTTTGAGGATCCTCCCCTGGGGAAGCCCTTCTTAAGGAGATCTCTATGTCTCATTGTCTTACCACCCCTCAAATCTTAGCTCAAGATTCAACTTTTCAATGAGACTTTCCAAGACCACCCTATTAAAAATAAATTTCCTCACACTGGATTCTTCTCTTTCCCTTCTTTGGTTTATTTTACTCCACAGTTTCTTCCAATATGATGCCACATATATACACACTCATGCATTCGTGTGAGCATGCACACATGCACGCTTGTTCCTTGCATTTATTTCTTGGCAAATAATGTCTCTTTGCAAATAATGATATCTCTCCTCCAGAACCTAAACTCCATGATGCACAGACTTTTATCTTTGTGCTAAGTGCTTAAATCTGAGCACCTTCTACAGGGTTTTCCCTACCCATACTGAATACAATTTTAATGAAAAAAATACAGATGTATATTTGAATAGGAATCATTTGGGGTCTAGGTTGCCTTTTGCTTAGTCACTTTCCACCAACAATATCCTACTAGACACAGAATCTTCTTATTTCATTATTAGAAACACTTTTGCATTCAGTTTACCAGGCTTAACATAAATTAAAAAGGAACAAGGAATACACCAGTGACTACTTAGAATAGATGCCACTATAAATTTTCTGGCCCTAGTACTAATCTAGGTAATATAATTTGTTGGAAGCATATTATTATTCGAGAAGCAATTATTTCAGCTAAGATGCAAGACTTCTGTGACGAGAATTTCACCATGTCCTTTCACATAAATGCACAGTAAAAGATTTTTGCTGTGTTCTATGGAGCCTCAAGTGTTTTTTAAATGAAAAAGATGCATGAAATAAATTAGTAATACTTCTGTGAATGAAAAGAATTAATACAAGAATTCTAAAAGCAAAGGTATGCCTCTGCTTCATTCCCATGAATGTTTCCTATAAGTTTACATGTGAAACAGAACTCTGCAAATTTTAATTTTAATCAAGAAACTAAGTTGACAGTTTTTATTTAAAAATGAAATATATATTTCACACACTAAGTTTTCTAATTTCATTTGAATCTTTTACAAAACATAAAAGTATTTTATAATATATGGCACATTACAAAACTTGTCTTGTTTGGAAAGTATTTAATGCATAAAGTTTAATAAATCATAAATCAGATATGATGTGTGACTCATTAATAACAATTGGTTTGGAAAACTCTCCCTGAAGCACAAATTGTTGGCTTGCTTCCCAATATCACTGTTCAATCAACAGTGATTGAAGAATCACTGTTCTTCAATGCCTGAAGCTCAATGTCTAAAAACAGTTATTTTATGGTTTTGCTTGTTCATCATTTGTTTCAGGTGGGAGGTAAATCTGGTTCCTTGCTGGAAGAAGATGTCAAAAATATTCAGTATTGCAACACGGATATATTATTATTTAGAAATGAATAAAATAAAATAAGTGCCTGGCTCAGTATCACCCAGTGATTAAATTGGGAAAGGGAGAGATCAACAGCCACATCCCAGATCTTAAACACAGTAATACTCTGCTTCTTCTTAAACCCTCATTAACATTTGCAACTTAATATTATAATTTTTCAAATTAAAACCTCCTTTTTCTAGACTCTGACCTCCTTGGAGGAAATAGTTCCGTGTTGTGTTTCACTCTAAGTCCATGTATAGCCCAGTGTTGGTGCACACTCAGGACATGCTCAGGAATGAATGACAGCAGGTAAGCGAGCTGCTTACTGGGCTGGTTCTGGCAAAGCACAAAATCATGCCAGTGACGGCCAGACAGGATATATATTGGGGGTGAGGTCTTTGCAAGGAAGGCTACGAGGCTTGGAGATATTAATATACCATAATGAAAAATAAGTTTCATGAGGGAAAAAAATTAATAAAACATTGTAATGGGTAAAGGGGATGTAGGAGTCACGGATGTGCCAGCCAACTTTATTTAGATATCTGCTAAGTGGAAATGTTATTTTGATTCAGATTTACTCTGAAATGGGCATCTGTTCAGGATCACAAACTTATACGCTGGAAGAAATTACTACATAGGTCACTTGATCCTGGTTATTGTGCAAATTAAGAGTCGATTCTAGGCTGGGCGCAGTGGCTCACGCCTGTAATTCCAGCACTTCGGGAGGCCAAGGCGGGCAAATAGCTGGAGTCGAGGATTTTGAGACAAGCCTGGACAACCTGGCAAAACACCATCTCTATAAAAAATACAAAAAATTAGCCAGACGTGGTGGTACACTCCTGTAGTCCCAGTTTCTTGGGAGGCTAAGGTTGGAGTATCACCTGAGCCTAGGAAGTCAAGACTGCAGTAAGCCTTAATTGTGCCACTGCACTCCAGCCTGGGCAACTGAAGTAAGAACCTGTCTCAAAAAAAAAAAAAAAATCCATTGTGACAATAGACATTAGCCTTATGATTAAGTCCTCCAAATAACAGAGGTCCATTATGGGTGAGAGAGGCTGTCCCACTGTTAGACAATTTTAACTGGTAGAAATCTTCTTTCTCATATTATCTAGCTTCTTTACACATCAAGAGAAGGTACATACACACAAAGAGAGAGAGTGAGAGAGCTATACACAAACGATATAGCAGATTTCTCTCACAATGTTTAGACATACAGAAATACGCTTTCGACGTGATAGAGGACGGAAGGAGAGGTGGAGGAGGAGGGGGTGAAAAGATCTAAAAGTAAAATATTTATATGAAGAGTAGTTTGCTTCTAATCACGCTGTATTTTAGTTGGACTAGAAAGTTCTAGGAATATATGGCAAACAATATGCCAGAAATCTCATGCTCATTTACATCCCCAAGTTATTATTAAATTAAGATATTTTTTATCACCACCCCAGCACTTCACCCCTGACATCCTAAAGGCTTAAAATCTGAAAATTTTACTGATCTTCAAAACCCAATCAAAGTTTGCACCATTAGGGCTTTATGGGAACAAGTCTGTAACTAGTGATGTTTTGCATAGTCCTCTGATATACAGGACATAACTCATGGTTAATGTCATCATGTGGTTATCTATATAATATTGTCACCATATGCCATCAAGAGATGAGATTGCCATTTTCTTTCCATGTACTAAAAGAATACCAGACAACTTGGCTAAATACATATGGACCTCCACCAAAAAATCAGAACAGCTAAGACAACTTGAGAGAAAGGGCAGGGCTCAATGAGAAACCTCAGAATTACCAGTTGACTAGTATTCCTTATTTATTATATATGCTCCAGCTATTCCAATAATTCCAAACACACATAAATTACATATATATAAAAATATATATATATTTAATTGAATAAACTTGATTGTATAATTTTGGCTTAGTTTTTAGATACATCATGAGTTGGTACACTTACTTCTTCAGTTTATAAATTTTTAAAATATGTAAAATAGGTGTAATGTGCCCAGTAATGAGATAGCTTGGAAAATCTACTAGTAAAAATAATTATTCTTCATTAACTCCCTTTATAAATTATATTAGATTATGCTTGAAGACCTTTTCAGTGCTACGTGCTAGGATGAAATGATATATAATTGAGAAAATAATAAAAGACATCAAAACAATAGCTCCAGGTCTTAAAATATGAGATATTTCAAAGCATACTAAGTGATTGCCCATCTCTCCTTAATTACTAAGTTCAATTCCCGAGAAGTGAGAAAGCAGAGGCGTAATATTGATGATCACCTATTGTGTTCTTTCTGGCTAGTCTGAAGCTCTGCATTTTTATTAAATTTCCACAATAACTAAAATAGTTAATCTTGCCCAAAGCCAATCCAGCTGTTTCAAAGCAGGAAGGAGCCTAATGCAGAGTTGCACAGCCACAACTTGGGGGCATCCTACCCTTCACTGATGCCTCCCAGAGCCTGCTCCTAATGAAGAGCCCCTGCCTCCACTCTCCTCATCCCATTCCAGCACTGATCTGGGGTATTCGGTCTTGCCTCAGCTATGACTGCCTCAATACATTCGCCTCTCAAGGTGGCATCAGGGGAAGGAGAATACCAGTGCTGAAAAGTGATACTCTGTCTACTGATGTCTGCTCAGACTCTGAGGAGTAATCAGGGTCCAAATCATATAAAGGTAAATGAGAGAAATACAATTTCAAAATTAAAAGATTCATACCTACTCCAATCACAAAATATTGCTCTTCTATTTCTGTTCTATTTCTATATAATTTCACCTAACCAAAATTACTTAAAAAGTATATTGATATTAAAGATAACATGTTTTAAGAGAAAATTAAACTTCCTATTTAACTTTTAATAGAAAATAGAAAACTTTCACAAACTGTACTCTCCCCAAGTAGAAAAGTACGAATCTCAACGCTGAGCAAGAGTATAAGACTTTCCTTGGGCACTCATGGATGATTTTATCTGCTACGTCTTTGTGTTTTATACTTCTCTTCATTTTTTATGCGCCAATCCCAATTTTTACTCCAGTACCCTGTTGTAATTAATAATCCTTTATATTCAACTTCCCAGTTCAAATTACTGTGTGGTTTCTATCTCCTGATTGGGACATGACTGATACACACAGTGAACTGAATTTGATAAACAGTGAATCGTATATAGATACAGATATACTACTGGGAGATTTCTCAGATGGTCTCAAGTATGTTAATACATGTCACAAATTTAATAGAAGAATATGTTGTCTACAGAGTTTCGCAAACTTGTATACAGATACACACACACATATACGCACCATGGCACAAGATTAGTGCTCTGTGGAGCATATATTGGGACACAGATGTTCGAAACTATAGTATAGCAAAATTCCACCTGGTAGAATTTTTAAGACAATGCATGTCCATGGGAAATAGCAGTATAATTTTTGCAAGTCAATAATTTTCTCTTTTGATAAGAGAAGCTGTGGAATGATGTTTTTGAATATGTTCATGTCCTTAAGTACCCGAGCGAGAAAACACTTGCTCATGAATATCCGTATGTTGCTACTGCAGGAAGAGTGGAGATTCTTGTGGGGAGTGGGGAGGATAACTTCCCCAAGGGATATAGCAGTATCTTAAAATGGGGACATAAAAAAATTCTCCCATTTTAGAGATTCTATTTCATATTCCCTACTTAATAATTCCTTATTCAGAAAGTTTAGCCATTCCCATCAATGCATATGACATCCATGGAAAGTTGGAAACATAATCAGATTTTTGACTCTTTGCAGCTTGAGACAGTATCATTCAGGAAAAGACCTTGCAGAGGTCTCTGCTTTCAGAAATATATGACTTAAGTAATAAGTGTCAGACACTATCAGAGACTGGGGCTGTGACATGCTGCAGGACAGGGCGCTGGTAGGAGCTATTATTACCTTTTATGTACATTCTCCAAAATGTTGTTAAGAAAATGTAATTACCATGGGGAGGCTCATTTATCTAAATTATTCTGGGCTACCAAAGAAACTTGACATGTAAACAATTTAGATAAGGAGTTTAATAATCTAGCAATACCAAGTGTCTGCAATCTGTCACTTGGTGCACTCTTATTCTTCGGTGGAACAGTCTGTTGTCCTTGAAGTGCTATTTCAGTGGAATGTACATTAGGAAGACAAACGTGACTCAGTATCAAGATAGTGAGTTTTAATAAAGCTAAAAAATGTACAAAACAGATTTTCAGCTACTAATATCAAAGTAGAACTCAGTGGAATTC